>NT_167246.2:4475321-4677643 GCF_000001405.40 Homo sapiens | reverse complement strand
GGCCAGGCCAGTCTTGAACGCCTGACCTCAGGTGATCCATCCGCCTCAGCCTCCCAAAATGCTGGGATTACAGGCATGAGCCACCGCGTCCAGCCTTTGTTTTTTTAATGTTGCTTTTTGATTAAAGAAATTTGTAATTTTAATATGATTGAATTTATCTGTCCTTCATTTTTATGTCTTTGTTTTTAGTAACAGTCTTGCTCTGTCACCCAAGCTGGAATGCAGTAGTGTGATCATGGCTCACTGTAGCCTCAACCTCCTGGGCTCAGGCAACCCTCCTCCCTCAGCCTCCCAAGTAACTAGGACTACAGGTGTGTGCCATATGCCCAGCTAATTTTTGTTGTTGTTGTTGTTTTGTAGAGACAGAGTCTCACTATGTTGCCCAGGCTGGTCTCAAACTCCTGGCCTCAAGTGATCCTCCCGCATCAGCCTCCCAAAGTGCTGGGCTTACAGCCACCATCTACCACGCCTGACTATTTTTGTCCTGTTTAAGAAATTCCTGGGCTGGGTGTGGTGGCTCACGCCTGTAATCCCAGTACTTTGGGAGGCTGAGGCGGGTGGATTACGAGGTCACGGGATCGAGACCATCCTGGCCAACATGGTGAAACCTCGTCTCTACTAAAAATACAAAAAAATTAGCTGGGCGTGGTGATGCGTACCTGTAGTCCTAGCTACTCATGAGGCTGAGGCAGGAGAATCACTTGAACCAGGGAGGTGGAGGATGCAGTGAGCCAAGATCGTGCCACTGCACTCCAGACTGGTGATAGAGTGAGACTCCGTTTAAAAAAAAAAAAAATGAAATTCCTTATTACTCCAAGGCCAGAAAAATATTATGCTACATTTTCTTCTTAATATTGTAGAATTTTGGCCAGGTGCAGTGGCTAAAGCCTGTAATCCCAGCACTTTGGGAGGCCAAGGCAGGAAGATTGCTTGAAGCCAGGAGTTTGAGACCAGCCTAGGCAGTATAGTGAGACCTCATCTCTACAAAAAATTAAAAAAATATATTAGCCAAGCATAGTGGCACACACCTGTAGTCTCTGCTACTCAGGTAGCTGAGGTGGGAGGATCACTTGAGCCTGGGAGGTCGAGGCTGCAGTGAGCCCTGTTTGTGCTGCTGCACTCCAGCCTGGGCAACAGAGTGAGACCCTGTCTCAAAAAATAATAATAAAATTAAAGAATAAACAAATATATAGAGAGAATTTTTTTGTTACCTTTAAGTCTCAAATTTACTTGGAATTAATTTTTGTGTGTGATGTGAGGTAGGGATCTATTTCTTTTTTTTATGTGGATGGTTGGCCCAGAACCATTTATAGAAAATCTTTTTCTTTTCTTTTTTTTTCTTTTCTTTTTTTTTTTTTTTAGACAGAGTCTCACTCTTGTCACCCAGGCTGGAGTGCAGGGCCACAATCTCAGCGCACTGCAACCTCTGCCTCCTGGGTTCAAGTGATTCTCCTGCCTCAGCCTCCTGAGTAGCTAGGATTACAGGCATGTGCCACCACACCCAGCTAATTTTTGTATTTTTAGTAGAGATGGGGTTTCACCGTGTTGGCTAGGCTGGTCTCGAAAAGTTTTCACATTTTAAAAAGTCTTTAAGGATTTTGATTAGAATTACATTGTCTATAGACTAATTTGGAAGAATTGATACTTTATGATATTGAAACTTCCTATCCATGATCATGATCATGGGCTCCCTATCCTTTTTTTTTTTTTTTTTTTTTTGAGACAGGTTTTGCTCTGTCACTCAGGTTGGAGTGCAGTGGCACAATCATAGCTCACTGCAGCCTTGAATTCCTGGGTTCAAGTGCTTCTCTTGTCTCAGCCTCCCGAGTAGCTAGGACTAGAGGCACACAGCACCACACTTGGCTTTTTTTTTTCTGTAGAGAATACAAAATTTAAAAATTTAATTTTTTGTAGTGTCTCACTAAACTGGGATTACAGATGTGAGCCACTCCACCTGGCCTCCTCCTCCAATTTTTAAGAGAGTCTTTTAATGTCTTTTGATAACCTTTTTAAATTTTCAGCACAAAGACACTGTAAGTCGTTTGCCATATTTTTAGGTGGGTATAATACGTATGTTTAGTTCTACTAGGAATAAATAAATCTTTTCTAGTTTTTTGTCTTTAACATCTTATGTTTTTGATTTCTTATTCTACTGGCTAACACTCCCAGGATGATGTTTAGAAGTTGAACAGAAAGGTGATAGTGAGAACCCTTTTCATATTCCTGATTTTGAAAGAATTGTTGCTGGTGCTGTGGCTCATGCCTGTAATCCCAGCACTTTGGGATGCTGAGATGGGAGAATCTCTTGAGCCCAGGAGTTTGAGAGTTTGAGGGGATCTGCCTGGGCAACATAGTGAGACTCCATTTCTTTTTTTTTTTTTTTTTTTTAGACAGAGTCTCCCTCTGTCTCCCAGGCTGGAGTGGTGCAGTGGTGCAATCTCAGCTCACTGCAAGCTCCGCCTCCCGGGTTCATGCCATTCTTCCTGCCTCAGCCTCCCGAGTAGCTGAGACTACAGGTGCCCAGCACCATGCCCGGTATTTTTTTTGTATTTTGTATTTTTAGTAGAGACGGGGGGTTTCACCATGTTAGCCAGGATGGTCTTGATCTGACCTCGTCATCTGCCCGCCTTGGCCTCCCAAAGTGCTGGGATTACAGGTGTTAGCCACCATGCCCGGCTAAGACCCCATTTCTTTAAAAAAAAAAAAAAAAAAAAAAAAAAGCCAGGCGTAGTGGCATGCATTTGTAGTTCTAGCTGCTTGGGAGGCTGAGGCGGGATCATTGCAGGAGATTAAGGCACCCACAAAGATGCACTTAAACCAGTTGTTTCTGCTGAGAGCAGCTGGGATTTGTCACTGGATTTGCCAGGTATAGAGACTCGCCAGCTGCCATCAATGCTTCTGGTCCTTTTTGGTCAGCTGCTGCTTCATACTACGTAGGAAAGATTGTTAAAGCCCAGTGCACTGTTTCCTCTGGTCACTCCTCTGCTATCAAGGTGTTCTCTTTTGCGTTATAGAAAGCTTAAAGTTCATCTAAGTCCAGACCAGTACTCCTATAGGAATATAATGCATGCCACAAATGTGAGCCACTTAAATAATTTTAAATTTTCTAGAAGCTACATTAAAAAGTAAGGAGAAACAGATGAAATAATTTTTTAAACCACTACATCCAAAATATTATTATTTCAACATATAATCAATAAAAAATAGTACTGAGGCCAGCACGGTGGCTCACACCTGTAATCCCAGCACAGGCCAAGGCAGGGAGGATCGCTTGAGCCCAGGAGTTTGAGACCAGCCTGGACAACATGGTGAAACCCCATCTCTACAAAAAATAAAAAAAAAATGAGTGGGACATGTTGGCACATGCCTGTTAGTCCCAGCTACTCAGGAGGCTGAGGTGGGATAATCACTGAGCCAGGAAAGTTGAGGTTGTAGTGAGCTGTGATTGTGCCACTGCACTCCAGCGTGGGTGATGGAGCAAGACCCTGTTTCCGAAAAAAAAAAAGAAAAAAAAGATATACTTAAAATTTATTCTAAGATGAAGTCTTCAAAATCAGGTGTATATATCATGCTTACAACACATTATATAATTTATGGCTCCTGCCTAGCAGGGGTCATCACTGTTAGTTCAACTTTTCTTTGGCAAGTCTACTCCCTGTGCCCCACCGTACACTGCTACATTATTGTTTGTATATGTGTGTGTGAGACTGCATTTAGGCAACTGTAATAGGTTGAATTTGGTTATTTAATCTCTGTCCAAAATCACATCACAAAGATGCCTTGATTATAGAAAGATCCTTCCTTGCAGCATATTAGTTATTTGACACCCTCAGTGGATATAAGTGAATATTTTGAGGGAAGAATAGAAAAGATACAATTTTTATTTATTTATTTATTTATTTATTTACTGAGACAAGTTGCTGCTCTGTCGCCCAGGCTGGAGTGCAGTGACATGATCTTGGCTCACTACAACCTCTGCCTCCCGGTTCAAGTGATTCTTCTGCTTCAGTCTCCCTGAGTAGCTGGGGTTACAGGCATGCACCACCACACCTGGCTAATTTTAGTATTAATAATTTATTTTTAAATGGAATAATAATTTCACTTTCTTCTTACCAGATCTTTCTGTCTGGGTTGTTTGCTTTTATGAGTTTTTTTGTTTGAATCTCCCTTTTACATTAAACAAAAATTAACATTTTATTATGGGAAATTTCACTATGCTATTAGAAAAGCATAGTGAACCCCCAGGCATCATCAGTGATATTCGGTGTATAGCAGTTCACGGACAGTTTTGTTTCATCTATACCAACACCTATTGCTTATCCTCCTTCTGTGTCCCCCAGTTACTTTGAATTAAATCTTATACATATACAGATGAATATTATCACTTCATCTGTATCAGAATGTTATTTTTATTAAGAAAATTATTTTTGAGATAGGGCCTTGCTGTAGTGCCCAGGCTGGAGTGTAGTAGCATGATATAACTCCCTGCAGCCTCGAACTCCTGGGCTCAAGTGATCCTCCCACCTCAGCCTCCTAAGTAACTGGGACTACAGGTGTGTGCCACCACACCTGGTAACAGATGGTTTTAAAAACTACAATACATTATCACACTTAAAAAAATTATCTTATCTAAAATAACTATTCAGATTTTCCCAGTTATTTCATAAGTGATTTTTTTTTTTTTTTTTTTGAGACACAGTTTCACTCTTGTTGCCTCCAGGCTGGAGTGCAATGGCCCGATCTTGGCACACTCCAACATCTGCCTCCCGGGTTCAAGCAATTCTCCTGCCTCAGTCTCCTGAGTAGCTGGGATTATAGACACCCACCACCACGCCCAGCTAATTTTTGTATTTTTAGTAGAGACAGGATTTCACCATGTTGGCCAGGCTGGTCTCAAACTCCTGACCTCAGGTGATCTACCCGCCTCAGCCTCCCAAAATGCTGGGATTACAGGCATGAGCCACTGTGCCTGGCCTTCATAAATGATTTTTATGGTTCAAATCAGGATCCATATAAAGTCCATATATGTGTCTTTTTTTAGTCTATAGATTTCCCTTCCATCTCCTCTGCAATTTATTTTTGGAAGAAACTGAGTTATTGAGTCATTTGTCATCTAGAATGATGTACAGTTTAGATTTTGCTGACTGCATTCCATGGTGTGGCCAAACTTCCTCTGTCTGGTGTATTTCTCATAAGTGTGTAATTAGATGGAAAGGCTTGGTCAGATTTAAATTAGTTTTTTTTTTTCTACAGGGATATTTGAGAGGTAGTGGTATGTATTTCCATCAGGAAGCACATAATGTCTTCTTGGCTCTCTTTGTGATGTTAGTAGCCATCAATTTCAGTGCCTAGATACATTAATTAGATTTCTGTATCTCCTACTATCTCAAAATTTTCCATCTTCTGTCTGTGCTACATTCTGAGTCCTTTCTTCAGTTATAAATTCTAATTCATTGTATAATTCTTGTTAATCTGTTGACTTTCTAAAACTGGCTTTTCATATCTAAAAAAATTTCCTTTTTTCAAGTCTGTTCATTCCTCATAGTTCTTACTAATTGGTCATTTTTACATCCTTTTTTTTTTTTTTTTTTTTTGAGACGGAGTCTTGCTCTGTCATCCAGGCTGGAGTGCAGTGGCATGATCTCTGCTCACTGCAACCTCCGCCTCCCAAGTTCAAGTGATTCTCTTGCCTCAGTCTCCCGAGTAGCTGGGATTATAGGCATCCACCATCATGCCCAGCTAATTTTTGTATTTTTAGTAGAGATGGGGTTTCATCATGTTGGCCAGGCTGGTCTTGAACTCCTGACCTCAGGTGATCTGCCCACCTCAGCCTCCCAAAGTGCTGGGATTACAGGCGTGAGCCACTGTGCCCGGCCTATCCTTAACTTTAGACATTGCACACAGTACAACTGCTATCCGTATCGGATAGTTCTTAAGGTCAGCAGCTATTGCTTATTGTGTCTGCTGACTCTCTTGGTAGCTGCCCTTCTTTTGTGTCTAGTGATCTTTGAGTTCATTGTTTGATCTTAACCAGGGGAACTGTATGGGCCAAAATTAGGATTGAGGATATTTTTCTCCATAGAGGATTTTCCTTAACTTTTGCAGCAGCTGAAAGATGCCATTCAGATGGATCTACATTAGTCATGATGCCAGAATTGGGCAAATCTGCTGACACCAGGACACCTGTGTATATGTGTTTGTGTCTTTCCAGGAATTCATTGAAGAGTTGCTGTCTCCCCCTTTTGGGGGTTTAGTGGCATTTGTGAAGGAGGCTGAGGCTTTGATTGAGCGTGGACAGGCTGAGCGACTTCGAGGGGAAGAAGGTATGAGGAAAATATGGTAATGATGGGATCAGTGGTAAGGGAAGTGGAAAAGAAAAATGAAAGGATGCAGATTACATGGTGGGGGAATAGAGTATGAAAGACTGGATTGAGAGAATACCAGAAAAGAGGGTTTGATGATAAGGATGGCTATACCTTGGGGAGAACTTAGTGGAGTTGAAGATCAGCCAGATCCCTCTCTGACACTGTTTCCTCCTGCTATTAGCCCGGGTAACTCAGCTGATCCGTGGCTTTGGTAGTTCCTGGAAATCATCAGTGGAATCTCTGAGTCAGGATGTAATGCGGAGTTTCACCAACTTCAGAAATGGCACCAGTATCATTCAGGTGACCTGCAAGTCCCAGGCCCCACTCAGATCCCCCATCATTAATTATTTTCCCCATCTTTTTGCTGGGCTCAGCATCATCTAAGTGACCCTTGGTCTTCAGTTACTAGCTGTGCCCAAAGTTCTGTATGAGCCCTAACCTGATTCTTTTTTTTTTGTTTGTTTTGTTTTTTTTTTGAGACAGAGTCTAGCTCTGTTGTCCAGGCTGGAGTGCAGTGGCACAGTCTCGGCTCACTGCAACCTCTGCCTCCCAGGTTCAAGTGATTTTCCTGCCTCAGCCTCCCAAGTAGCTGGGATTACAGGTGCCTGCCACCACAACCAGCTAATTTTCGTATTTGTAGTAGAGATGGGGTTTCACTGTGTTGGCCAGGCTGGTCTCGAATTCCTGACCTCGTGATCTGCCCGCCATGGCCTCCCACAGTGCTGGGATTACAAGTGTGAGCCACTGCGCCTGGCCGCCTAACCTGATTCTTAATCATCACTATTAGCACCATTTTACGGTTTGATCCCTCAATGACTTTCTTTGACCAGGGAGCGCTGACCCAGCTGATCCAGCTCTATCATCGCTTCCACCGGGTGCTGTCCCAGCCGCAGCTCCGAGCCCTCCCTGCCCGGGCTGAGCTCATCAACATTCACCACCTTATGGTGGAGCTCAAGAAGCATAAGCCCAACTTCTGATGTGCCAGAAACCGCCCTGAGATCTGCCGGTCATCTCCATGGACTTCTGCACCCCATTCCATACCCTTCTTCACCTGGGGTACCCCTTCCAGTTTTCCCCTTGCTTCCCAGGCCCTTGACATGGCTTACCTGCCTTCACTCCCAGCACCTTGCCCAACAGGATAAGCTGGATCCCCTTGGCCTTCTGAATATCCCAGTGTCTTCAGGTTTCCCAAGACCACTTCCCTGTGGGCTTCCAAAATGGCCTTTATCATTTCTCCAGTCTGTCACCCTCCTTTCCTGCTCCCATACACCCAAGGCTTGTTTCTTCCCCTGTAAAAACCACTGCCTCAATCTCTGGTTCACTCAACTAGTCACCATGTCCTGAGGCATGAAGCCTCCTCAGCTCTTGGAATTGCTGGCAAGGGGTGACTGCCTCTGAGTCATTGTGTTTTTCAAAGTGATTTCTTTTCTGTAGCTTTTTGACCTAAGATCTCAGCAATTTGAACACTAACCTCTCCCCTCCTGGCTCAAGAATTACTCCGAAGTCAGTCTGCAGAAAATAAATATTTAGTATGACATGACACTTATCCCATTTCCTTTCTCCTTCCTCCTGAAGGTTTTTCAGGTGGCCCCATCTCTAGAATGACCTTTCCTTTCTGACTACTTCCTGGGCTTACATCCCTTCTGGTGGGTGTAACCTCTAACCTCTAGCTACTCCCAGGCCATTGGAGGAAGGTGGCCCCTGGCTAAAATAGCAGATGCTGCAAGGGATGAGAACCAGGCCGCGCAGCCCCAGACACTGTCCCAAGGGCTCCCTTGGGACAAGCCCAAGCTGACTCTGGAATCCCTCCTCCGTAGCAGCTCCATAGCTCCTCTGGTTGTGGCTGTGACAGCCCCTTGCTCGGGGGCTGCAGCACCCAACCCACACCCACACCGTTGGGGCAGGGCTAGACCAGGCGAAATTCGTACCATCCGTTTGTTTGACTTGGAGCCTTCCTGCTGTCCTCGCCTATACGCCTCGTTTGAACTTAGGCTCTAGACTGGAGAGACACGGGGACCCCTTTAAGGCCTAAGAAGAGAGGCGCAGTTAAGGAAAAATGTTACGTTTCCTGTGTCCTCCACCCCTACGGCCTAAACATTCCCTCCCCAGGTCCCTGGAGAGTGGTGGAAAGCGGTTCCTCCCCGCTTAGGCCCTTCGGATGCAGGTCTAGCCCGTCGGCAACGGGAGGTGTCCTGAGTGGGTCTGTGACTGCCGAGCACACCCGCCGCGGAGCGGAGGCTGCTGCTTCCTGAGGCTGAGAGTGGATCCGGCTCCGGGCTCTCCTAATTGGCGGACGCTGGGGGGCGGCGTGGTAAGGCAGAACGGAGCGGCATCTCAGCTCTCGCCTTTTCAGGGTTCCGCCCCATATCCGAGAGCCGCTCTCTAATTGGCTTGGGAAACCGTATCTCAGCGCTTTGGCCTAGCGACTTTGAACGTGTTTGCGCCTGAGACCGAAGTGCAGAAGAGGGCGAGCGCAGGAGGAGAGGCTTGGTGAATCAGCGATTCCTGATTGGCCAGGCGTGCCTTGAGGGCGGGGCCAGAACTGCGTCCTTAACTGACCTCGCCCTTGCCCAGATCACCGCCTCCGCGTTGCTCCGGGTTTACCCCGCCTGACTCGCTGCGCTATGCGTTCCCTCACGCCTGCCGGATGCCAGGCGGCGATGTGCCAGGCTCTGAGGGGCCGCGAGCTCACCCCAGACGCCGGCCCCGGGAATCCTCTGCTCCTCCACTTTCCCTTCCCGCTACTGGTTTCTTGCCCACCCACTCCCAGGTGTCACTCTTGGGACATCCAGATGTTCTGACATTTGACCTGACTCCAGCCTCAGCGCGAGGACGGGAGAAGGGCCAAGGGTATGAGATTTTGGACAGGAGAGGCATTGGCTACTCTGACAAAGAGCGTGGATTCCCAAAGAAAGGGTCCCCAGATACCCCGCAGGGGAGACTGTCGAGACAGGCGACTTTAGCCAACTAATGCTCGCACGCGAGGAGGGCTGTGCAGGCAGGCACCACGGTTCTTCACAGCCTTCCTTCTTTCCTTCCCCTGTCCGTCGCAGAACCCAAATCCTCAGAGCTGATCGAGAAGCGCGTGTTGTTGCAGAAGTCACTGAGGGGCAGACCTGGAATGTGAGCCGTGGGGCGAAGGGACAGCTCTGGAGACTCGTGATTCCGGAACCCGGTGGGCATTCAAGTGATACTGGAGCACGCAGTTTTCGGGGACATTAAGCTCGCCCCAGGGGTCCACAGGAACCCTCTGACCCAACGGTCTCTCTGGACAGGATGATCCAGAACAGACGGTGAAGAGACAAAACAGCGTGAAAGGGAGCGGCGATACCTAAACTGACCTCCGGAGGGCAGCATGATCAAGGGAAGGAGCTGTTCTCGCTCCGCTCAAACCCCCGCGCAGCCTCTGCAGCTTACTCCTGCTTCGGAAGGCGGCGAGGTTCCACCCCCACCACCCCGGTCCCCGCCGCCCTCTTCGCGCTGAAGCTGCGGAGGGTCTTTTTCTTCAGCCCCCAAATCCTCTGCTCTGTGGCTTAAGATTCCCAGGCTTAAACCCATAACTGCTAGGGTCATCACTCCTCAAACTTCTCCCTCACTTGTTTTGCTGATGACGGACACAGGGGCCTCACAGACTCAGAAGCATCTGGAGTCATTTCGAAGGACAGAACTGTGGCAATATCCTCTTTCCCCCTCCTAATCTCTGAGAACAGTGTCTGTATATGGCACGGGGGTCCCTAGTGTCATATAGAAGGACTCGGAGATGTCCTCATGGGCTGTAACGGCCCCCGGTGCTATTCAGGGATCTCTGTTCTTTAAAGAAATATCATTTCCCCTTATTTCTCTACCTTTGTGCCCTCACCTCGCCCTGAATTGTTTCTTAAACTGGGCTTTCTGGGAAACGTTTACTTCGTGTTCAACAGCAAAGTCTCGGCATAAGGCGAGGGCGGCAGGGGGTGGGGGGCGGGCGTTTGCTCGCCTTGGCATTAATTTCAGAGCTGCTGAACGTGGACAAAAGAGAGGGAACATCCTCCTTTCTTCCATTCCTGTAAATATGGACCCACCCACCCTCCACTTAAGATGGGTGGCTTTTCTGATTTTAAGATATCAAGCAGCCTGGCGAGGTGGCTGACACCTGGGATCCCAGAACTTTGGGAAGCCGAGGCGGGAAGATCCCTTAAGGCCAGGAGTTCTAGACCAGCCTGGCCAATATGGCGAAAACCCATCTCTACTAAAAATACAAAAATTAGCCTGGCGTGGTGGTGCCTGCCTATAATCCCAGCTACTAGGGTGGCTGAGTCAGGAGAGTCGCTTGAACCTGGGAGGCGGAGGTTGTAATGAGCCGAGATGGCCACTGCACTCCAGCCTGGGTGACAGTGAGACTCTGTCTCAAAAATAATAATAATAATAATAATAAAAAGATATAAATTGGCTGGGCTTTAAAATAAAGTAGTCAGAGGCCCAGGGTGGTGACTCATGCCTGTAATCCTTTTGGAAGGCAGAGGCCAGAGGATCTTGAGCACAGGAGTTTGAGACTAGCCTGGGCAACATAGGGAGACCCATCTCTACCAAAAAAAAAAAAAAAAAAAAGCAAAAAGCCAAGCATGGTGGCCCATGCCTGTGGTCCCAGCTAGTTGTGAGGCTGAGGCAGGAGGATTGCTTGAGAACAGGAGTTAGAGATTGCAGTGAGCTATGATTGCACTACTGCACTCCAGCCTGGGTGACAGAGTGAGACCCTATCTCTTTTTAAAAAATTAAAAAACAAAGTAGATTTAGTGTGAAGATTCAAGGAAAGAAAGAGAAAGCAAGACAAAACTTTAAGGAGAGGAGAATCGAAATTGGCTGACTTCACCCTGGACATAATGGACACAGCTATTCATGTTACGTACTAGCGTTAACAAAGTGTTTTCAGAAGCAGTTGTCATTAAACCAACACATTTATTGAAGCTCTTCTCTGTGTTCTGTGATAGGCACTGCGGATTCAGCAGAGACTAAATCAAAGTCCTTGATCTCGGAGAGCACATATTTCATCTAATTGAATTCACATACCAGCCTTATGAGGAGGTGTTCTTCCTGTTTCAGGTAATGAGCTTGAATTTCAAATAATGAGTTCAAAACCATATAGGCACTCAGTGGCTGAACCTTCTGTGCCCACATTCAGCTTTTGTTCTATGACTCCAGGCTGGGAGTCATGGAGCTGAGGAGGCAGCCGGTTGTAGAGAAGCAACAGATTAATAAGTAATAGTAAATTATTGAAAAAATATTTACAGAACTGAAGGAAAAGCTGAACAGGCGGTCTTTGGAAAGGACAGAAGCCAGGATAGTTCCAGCATCCAGGCAGCAGACACCAATGGTCAGTGCTTCTACTTTGGATCAAAAAGAGAGAACTCCAATAGGCTTAGGGTGGGTCAGGTGCTCACACTCATCTGAGGAAGGGGAGGGTCCCTTGAGGAATAGTACCATAGACTACCCAATGTTGGAGGATAATGGCCCCAACGCAAAAATGGGATCTTGCCACCAGACAAATGGGATATAGATGCCAGGCTGCAAAATCCAACAAATGTACACGTGCCCAAATCCCGACTCCATCACTAATAGCCATGCAATCCTCTGACTATCAATTAGATTAATTGACACTCTTTTTTCTCTCGCTACTGTGGTACATGCAGTAGTTACCTTTATTCTTCACTTTGTTTTCTCATAAGACTAACAAGCAGTTTTTTAAAATAAAGAAATAAAAGCAAAATTGCTTATTGTCTTAGTCTATTCATTGGCAAACTAGTAACATTAAATAAACTCCAGACAGAGCCACTGGAGAAGAATCAAGTACAACTTAGTAGAAATAACACCGTATGTGTGAAGGTGAGTGTGTGTGTGTGTGTGTGTGTGTGTGTGTGTGTGTGTGTGATGGAAAATACTTTGTCCTGCCCAAACTGTAAGTCATGACCATGCCCCTCTCAGCAGAAGTTTATCTTCATCTCATTTGGAAGTTTATAAGAACACAGCTTAAAAAAAACCTGTGATTTTGGAGCAAGGTCAAGCCTTTGCTATTGCTTCCACATTTTGTTTTGTTTTATTTATTTATTTACTTTTCAGTTTTTTGGAGTTTTCTTTATTTGTTTGTGTTTTTGAGACAGGGTCTCGCTCTGTTGCCCAGGCTGGAGTGCAGAGGCACCATCTCGGCTCACTGCAACCTCTGCCTCCCGGGTTCAAGCGATTCCCCTGGCTTAGCCTACTGAGTAGCTGGGATTACTGGCACGCACCACCACATCCAGCTAATTTTTGTATTTTCAGTAGACACTGAAATACATGTTTGCCATGTTGGCTGGGCTGGTCTCAAACTCCTGGCCTCATGTGATCTGCCTGCCTCGGCCTCCCAAAGTGCTGGGATTACAGGCATGAGCCACCACGCCTGCCTAGTTTTTAGTTTTTTGAGACAGAGTCTTGCTCAGTTACCCAGGCTGGAATGCAGTGGCATGATCACAGTTTACTGCAGCCTCGACCTCATGGATTTAAGCAATCCTCCCACCTCAGCCTCTGGGATAGCTGGGACTACAGTCATGTGCCACCACACCTGGCTAATTTTTGTATTTTTTGGTAAACGAGGTTTCACCATGTTGCCCAGGCTGGTCTTGAACTCCTGAGCTCAAGTGATCTCCTACCTCGGCCTCCCAAAGTGTTGGAATTACAGGCATGAGCCACTGCCCCAGCTGTTTTATTAATTTAGTTAAAAATATATGAAAAGAGGCCCTGCGCGGTGGCTCACGCCTGTAATCCCAGCACTTTGGGAGGCTGAGGTGGGCGGATCACCTGCGGTTTTGGAGTTCAAGACCAGCCTGACCAACATGGAGAAACCCCATCTCTACTAAAAATATAAAAAATCAGCTAGGCATGGTGGCACATACCTGTAATCTCAGCTACTCGAGAGGCTGAGGCAGGAGAATTGCCCTAACCCAGAGGAGGTTGTGGTGAGCCAAGATTGCGCCATTGCACTCCAGCCTGGGCAACAAGAGCGAAACTCTGTCTCAAAAAAAAAAGTATATATATATATATATATATATGAAAAGGCTGGGTGCGGTGGCTCACGCCTGTAATCCTAACACTTTGGGAGGCTGAGGCAGGTGGATCACCTGAGGTCAGGAATTTGAGACCAGCCTGGCCAACATGGCAAAACCGTGTCTCTACTAAAAATAAAAAAATTAGCCAGGCATGGTGGCAGGCGCCTGTAATCCCAACTACTTGGGAGGCTGAGGCAGGTGGATCACCTGAGGTCAGGAATTTGAGACCAGCCTGGCCAACATGGCAAAACCCTGTCCCTACTAAAAATACAAAAATTAGCCAGGCATGGTGGCAGGTGCCTGTAATCCCAACTACTTGGGAGGCTGAGGCAGGAGAATTGCTTGAACTCAGGGGGCAGAAGTTGGCAGTGAGCCAAGATCACACCATTTCACTCCAGTCTGGGCAAAAGAGCAAGATTCTGTCTCAAAAAAAAAAAAAAAAAAAAAAAAAAAAAAATATATATATATATATATATATACATACATACACACACACATACACACATACAGGCACTAGCCAGGCGTGGTGGCTCATGCCTGTAATCCCAGCACTTTGGGAGGCCGAGGCGGGCAGATCACAAAACAGGCAGGGCATGGTGGTCCACGCCTGTAATCCTAGCACTTTGGGAGGCTGAGGTGGGCAGATCACTTGAGCACAGGAGTTCGAGACTAGCCTGAGCAACATGGCGAAACTCTGTCTCTACCAAAAATACAAAAATTAGCTGGGTGTGGTGGTGCATGCCAGTAATCCCAGCTACTCCGGAGGCTGAGAGGCAGGAGGATTGCTTGGGGAGGCAGAGGTTGCAGTGAGCCGAGATGGCACCACTAGACTCCAGCCCAGGTGACAGAGGGAGACCCTGTCTCAAAAAAAAAAAAAAAAAGAAAGAAAAGAAGAAAAGAAAAACAAATCACCTGCCTTATGAAGAAACAGTTTGTAATAGATATAAGACACAGAATGTGCAGCCCCTGGTATGGAATAAGTCCTTAGAAAATGTTAGTTTCCTCTCTGTCCCTGTGTGACATGAAGGGAATTCCAGGGCCAGTGCCACTTCCTGGTGGTTTCCCTCACTTAAGTGCTGTGTACCCCATTGCAAAAGCATGTCTTCCAGGTTCCTGATACCACATCCCATGTCCTCTGCCTTTGGGGCTCTCATAGGATTAAGTGTCATTTTCCCTATGAACTAGAAAAGAATCTTCTGAACGTCTGCCTTGGGACTGATGATATAGCTGAGCTGAAAGGACAATTAGTTTTCCTCCCCAGACCAACCCAACCTTCAAGGCTGGGGACTCATTTGATGCTCCCATTCAAACATTTGGAGAAAATTGTCTCTGAGTACCAGGTCTTTTTAGCATATTTTCTCCAAATGTTACATCCTTAGGGGCTTTGAATAGTAGAAGAGCCTTCAACATTGGTTCAGATGGAAGCATGCAGGCATGTGGAGAGTTGCCACTCCCTGATCCCTGAAACAAGGCTTAGGATGGAAAAGAGCCTCCTGGGGAGGTTGGCTCTGAATGTAAAGCTGGGAGAGGCACCTCCTGTCAACCTAAGGGCTTGTTGGTAGGGGCAACATGTTGACCTGGCTTCCTTCCCACTCTGAGACATCACTGGCTCTCATGCAGAGCTATTTTCCTTCTTTCTTTCTTTCTTTCTTTCTTTCTTCTTTCTTTCTTTCTTTCTTTCTTTCTTTCTTTCTTTCTTTCTTTCTTTCTTTCTTTCTTTTCTTTTCTTTTCTTTCTTTCTTTTTTTTTTTGAGACGGAGTTTCACTCTTGTTGCCCAGGCTAGAGTGCAACGGCACGATCTCAGCTCACCACAACTGCCACCTCCCTGGGCCAAGCAATTCTCGTGCCTCAGCCTCCCGAGTAGCTGGGATTACAGGCATGTGCCACCATGCCCAGCTAATTTTGTATTTTTAGTAGAGATGGGGTTTCTCCTTGTTGGTCAGGCTCGTCTCAAACTCCCAACCTCAGGTGATCCACCTGCCTTGGCCTCCCAAAGTGCTGGGATTACAGGAGTAAGCTGCCGTGCCTGGCCTTTCATTCTTTTCTTTCCTTCTTTCCTTCTTTCCTTCCTTCCTTCTTTCCTTCTTTCCTTCCTTCCTTCCTCCCTCCTTCCCTCCCTCCCTCCTTTCTTCTTTCTTCTCTTTCTTTCTCCTTCCTTCCTTCTCTCTCTCTTTTCTTTTCTTTCTTCTTTCTGGGTTTCGCTCTATTGCCGAGGCTGGAGTGCAGTGAGTGGCACGATCACGGCTCACTGTAGCCTCAACTTCCTAGGCTCCAGCGATCCTCCTACCTCAGCCTCCTTAGTAGCTGGGATTGCAGGCATGAGCCACTGTGCCCAGTGTAATGCAGGGCTCTTCATCCAGGATCCCAAAGGGCAAACAAAAATAGGAGAAAATTACATTTCATTTTCACTAATCTCTAACTGAAATTTAGCATTTTCTCCAATGATAAATGTAGGCAATAAACCTACACCGGTATTTGTAGTACATGTGACTGTTGTTAATAGAATTTACACATTTGTGTCATCTTCCAGTAGTTGCAGAAATTTCAAAATGTCATGTATGCTCACGGTTACTTTGTAGTTAGTGGTAGTGGTTAGACTCACCACTAGATCTTCTTCTTACACATTTTGTTTCATTTTGACAACTGTACTTCAATATGATTGTTTTCCTTTGTAATCCCATTTATTTTACTTTATGCAGTTGAAGATTATTCTGACACTCCACAGACTTCACCAGACTTCCAAAACCTGTCCTAGACGTAAAAAGTTAAGAAACCTTAAATCTCTAATGATGCTGTCATTTCCTGTTTTGTATTATCTTACAACCAGGGTAATTAGGAATGCCTTCTTCTTCTTCTTTTTTTTTTTTTTTTTTTGAGACGGAGTCTTGCCCTGTCACCCAGGCTGGAGTGCAGTGGCACAATCTTGGCTCACTGCAACCTCTGCCTCCCGGGTTCAAGTGATTCTCCTGCCTCAGCCTCCCAAGTAGGTGGGATTGCAGGCATCCACCACCATGCCCAGCTATTTTTTTGTATATTTAGTAGAGATGGGGTTTCACCATGTTGGCCAGGCTGGTCTTGAACTCCTGACATCAGGTGATCCACCCACCTCAGCCTCCCAAAGTGCTGGGATTACAGGCATGAGCCACCGTGCCTGGCTTGCTTTCTTCTTGTTTAAACTAAAGGTCTTCTTGTAAAATTCCTGCTTATATTTTCTTCATTATTACTCAAATTCAATTATTCATTTATTTGCCAAATATTTAGAAAACACTTCTCTTGTACAAAACCATGCTGCATAAAACTGTTATTATGCGAAAAATAATCCTTACTCGCCATGCCCTCTACCCCGACCCCCCAACCCCATTTACAATCTGGTAGAGCTGGACTGTTTACCCACATAGGACACACAGGCTGCAGCTTACCATGGGCAGGGAGTGGGGATGGTTGTTCCAGGTGCAGGTAATAAGAAGGTGTATTGTCTGTGGAGAATTTAAAAATAATTCTAAAACCAACTTTTTTTTTTTTTTTTTTTTTGAGATGGAGTCTGACTCTTTGGCCCAGGCTGGAGTGCAGTGGCACCATCTTGGCTCACTGCAGCCTCTGCCTCCCGGGTTCCAGTGATTCTCCTGCCTCAGCCTCCCAGGTAGCTGGCATTACAGGCACACACCACCACGCCAGGCTAATTTTTGTGTTTTTAGTAGAGACGGGGTTTTACCACGTTGGCCAGGCTGGTCTTGAACTCCTGACCTCAGGTGATCTGCCCACCTCACCCTCCCAAAGTGCTAGGATTACAGGTGTGAGCCACTGCGCCCAGCCTGAAGCCAACTTTTTATTGATACTGCGCACCAGCAATTATAAAAAAATGTTAGTGACAAAATACCCCTTGCAGTGTAGCCTCCTCCCCCCACTCCACCCTGCTTGGTATGCCACTGCACACAGGGGAGTTTAACCATTTCCAGTTTACACACACACACACAGACACACACACACACACACACACACACACACACACAAACACACAGAGCCTTTGAGACTTCCTTTTCTCCTCAACTCCCCCAGCCCAGTTCTCATGTCACTCTACTCAGGGTAGGATCTGCAGCACTGCTGGGCCAGTATCCCCAAAGGTGAGCCCTGTAAGCTCCTTGGCCTCTGGATGGTCTCATTAATAGTCCAGGATGAGCCCTGCAATCTTGGCATCTGTAGGCAGGTCTCAGCTCTTCTTCACACCCCTGGGCTTGAACCCCTTGGCAACTGCGTTTGACAGTACATGATTCCCATTCTTCATCTCCAGATTTTCCATCCTTCAAGAAAACACTGGATTTCCTGGTCAAGCCAAGGCTTAATGAACTGGCCTGGCAGCTTCTCTGGTCCTCAAGTTTCCTTTTCTTGCCTTACTTTCTGAAGACTTCTAGTAGTTTTACTTGGAAGTGTCACTGTCTCCATTTTTATTCCTGAGTTTTCTGCAGTTCTTTTTTCTGTGGCCCCACGGACTCATCCAGAGCCTGCAGGGAGCTGACACCTCATCTGAGCTGCTAGAATTGAGGTGAGAAAGGAGGTTCCTAAGTGCAGAAATGTGTTTTCTCCTCTCCAGCCACCACTGAAGGCTTTGGATGTGATTGAGTCAGACCTCTCCTGCACAGTCTCCCTTTGGATTACCTCAAGATAAACCAATTTGTGACTTTAATTACATCCGCGAAGTCCCTTCCCAGCTGCACCTAAGCTAAAGTGTGATTGAATGAATGAAAGAGGGTGTGCTGGCGATCAGCTAGGGAAGTGATTCCAAGGGTCCCTAGACTCCACATTACCAACTGCAAAATGTGACGTTCTTACGTTCTGACAAGCGAACTCTCCTCCCAAATTCATTGCCTGAGTTGATGCAAATGAATTCAGCCACGCCTTTTGGGTTTGGCATCTGAGAAGTGTCTGTGACTTGGGAAGAGTGGTCAGAATGGCGATAATGGGAAGAGACCACATTTCAGCTGGTGGAGAGTGAAAGGACAGCCAACATCTTGCCCTTTCTGAAGCATACACACATTGGAGATTGAAAGTGTCTGTTGGCCTCACAGGCACTGAGGAAAGCCTCCCATCCCCTTAGATTTTCCTCCTTTTTCCTGAGGTCCCCTGAACCTAATAGTCTGTAACCTTATTCCATGTCTGGGTCAACAAACCACCTTCCAAGGAGGACTTGAATATAATAATCCGTTTCCTCTGCATTCCTCCAGAACACAGAGTCCACACCATCCATGAGTCTGTCAAACAAAACATTCCTCATTGGTCTCAATGTTGAGCACTGAAAGTTCTCTGAGCTCATTTAGCACCAACTCATCATCCTTAAAATCCACAGGATGGGCCGGGTGCAGTGACCCATGCCTGTGACTACAACACCTTGGGAGGCCAAGGGGCAGATCTCTTGAGCCCAGGAGTTCAAGACCAGCCTGGGAAACATGGTGAGACACCTTCTCTACAAAAAAAAATTTTTTTTTTTGAGACGGAATCTCACTCTGTCGCCCAGGCTGGAGTGCAGTGGTGCAATCTCGGCTCGCTGCAACCTCCGCCTCCAGGGTTCAAGCGACTCTCTGCCTCAGCTCCCGAGTAGCTGGGATTGCAGGCATCCACCACCATGCCCAGCTAATTTTTGTATTTTTAGTAGAGACAGGGTTTTACCACGTTGGCCAGGCTGGTCTCGAACTCCTGACCTCGTGATCTACCCGCCTCAGCCTCCCAAAGTGCTGGGATTACAGGTGTGAGCCACCATGCCCGGCCTACAAAAATTTTTTTAAAAAAATTAGCCAGGAATGGTGGTGTACACCTGTGGTCCCAGCTACTTGGGAAGCTGAGATAGGAGGATTCCTTGAGCCCAGGAGGTTGAGGCTGCACAGTGAGCTGTGATCACGCCACTGTACTCCAGCCTGAGCAATAGTGAGACCTTATCTCAGAAAACAAACAAAACAACCAAAAATATCCATAGGATGAAACATATGTTTGATTATGACAACTTGCTTATGGTACCTTCTGGATGGCCCAGCTCCCTTGCAGATCCCCAGACCAACAGCTTTTGTTGTAGTGACAGCTTCTTCTTGTAACCTCTTTTTTTTTTTTTTTGAGATGGAATTTCACTCTTGTTGCCCAGGCTGGAGTGCAATGACATGATCTCGGCTCACTGCAGCCTCTGCCTCCAGGGTTCAAGCGATTCTGCTGCCTCAGCCTCCTGAGTAGCTGGAACTACAGGTATGCACCACCATGCCCGGCTAATGTTTGTATTTTTAATAGGGACGGTGTTTTGCCATGTTGGCCAGGCTGGTCTCGAACTCCTGGCCTCAGGTGATCCACCTGCCTCAGCTTCCCAAAGTGCTTGGATTACAGGCGTGAGCCACTGCACCTGGCCTACAGCCTCTAATTTCATTTTCATCCAAAAGCTTTAATGGAAGGCCCACAGATTCCCTCTTCAAGTAACAGCAAAGCGCATCTCCTTTAAGATTTCTTTGATCATCTTCATAAAGCTTGACTTTGAAGTCTTCTGAGGATTTCTCCTGGAGGCAAACCAGATATATAGACATTTGTATTTCTGTCTTCTTCAACATGAAATTATCCTCATTCCATTTTTCTTTTATCTCCCCTGTTTTTAGGATCAGTGGGTTTGGGGGGTTTTCTTTGCAGAAATTCTGCATTCCTAGCATTGACATTTTGTACATTTGCAGGAGAGCTAGATGCCCCACCATTAGAAAAGCCACACTTGGCTGGGTATGTAGCAATGAAACCTTCAGTGGCCTTGGGAAACCACGCCTTCTTGTCCAGATCCCACTCATTGTGGGAGTCAGTTGGCTGCTGCCCTAAATAACCCGTTTGTCACTGAGATCTTCTTGTCTGTTGCAGTCCTTAGTGTCTCCATATAATTTATGCATTCACAACTGCTCATCAAGTCATCATTATCATCCACTTCATGTTTCCTACCTAGCCAGGGGCAGGGTTCAGGTAATCAAAGAGGCTGCTCTGCTGGGCCTGCAAGGCTCCACCAAGTGTGTCTGAGGTGACAGCCCAAGCACTGTTATAAATATTTGCGCACTGTTGTAAACATTTGCATTAGTCCCTTCTCGCACTGCTATAAAGAAATACCTGAAACTGGGTAACTTATAAAGAAAAGAGGTTGCCGGGCGCGGTGGCTCATGCCTGTAGTCCCAGCACTTTGGGTGGCTGAGGCAGGTGGATCACTTGAGGTCAGGAGTTTGAGACCAGCCTGGCCAATATGGTGAAACCCCGTTTCTACTAAGAATACAAAAATTAGCCGGGCATGGTGGCCAGCACCTGTAATCCCAGCTACTTGGGAGGCTGAAGCAGGAGAATCACTTGATCCGGGGAGGCAGAGGTTGCAGTGAGCCAAGATCATGCCACTGCACTCCAGCCTGGGTGACAGAGCAAGACTCCGTCTCGGAAAAAAAGAAAAGAAAAGATGTTTGCTGGGCACAGTGGCTCATGCTTGTAATCCTAGCAGCACTTTGGGAGGCTGAGGCCGGAGGGTTAATCACTTGAGCTCAAGAGTTTGAGACCAGCCTGGGCAACATGGCAAAAACCCGTCTCTATAAAAAATTCAAAACTTAGCTGGGTATGGTGGCATGTGCTTGTGGTTCTAGCTACTTGGGGAGCTGAGGTGGGAGAATTGCTTCAGACCAGAAGGTAGAGGCTACAGTGAGCTGTGATTGCGCCACTGCCTGGGCGACAGAGCAAGACCCTATCTCAAAAAAAAAAAGAGGTTTAATTGGCTCATGGTTCTGTGGGCTCTACAGGAAGCATGATGCTGGCATCTGCTTGCCTTCTGGGGAGGTCTCCAGAAACTTACAATTATGGCAGAAGGCAAAGGAGGAGCGAGCCTTCTCACATGGCAGGAGCCGAGAGAGAGGGAGGAGGTGCGGCACACTTTTAAACAACCAGAGCTTGCCAGAACTCTCTATCATGAGAACAGCACCAGGAGGATGGTGCTAAACCATTCGTGAGAATCCACTCCCATAATCCAACCACCTCTCACCAGGCTCCACCTCCAACACTGGGACTACATGAGATTTGGTGGGGACACAGATCCAAACCATATCAACATTTAACACATTGCATCTTTGAATTGTCACAGCAACCCTGTGAGGTGGGTACTAGTGTTATCCCCATTTTACAGAGAGGAAATTGATGCCCAGAGACCTTGCCAAGGTTATAGACAGGACAGTTAGTGCATGACAAAGCTGGAATTGGAATGCAGCCAGTTCTGCTTTAGAAGCCACTTTCTTGCCTGCCTTTCTTTCTTTATTTCTTTATCTTTTCTTTCTTTCTCTCTCTCTCCTTCCTTCCTTCCTTCCTTTTCTTTCTTTTCTTTTCTTTTTTTTTTTTTTTTTTGAGACAGGGTCTGGCTTTGTTGCTCAGGCTGGAGTGTGGTGGCACCATCTTGGCTCACTGCAACCTCCACCTTCTGGGCTCAAGTCATCCTCCTACCTAAGCTTCCCAAGTAGCTGGGATTACAGGTGCATACCACCACACCTGGCTAATGTTTGTATTTTTTTTAGTAGAGATGGGGTTTCACCATGTTTGCTAGGCTGGTCTTGTACTCCTGGCCTCCCAAAGTGCTGGGATTAGAGGCGTGAGCTATTGCACCCCGCCTGAAGCTACATTCTTTTTTTTTTTTTTTTTTTAATGAGACGAGTCTTGCTCTGTCCCCCAGGCTGGAGTGGTGCAGTGGCGTGATCTTGGCTCACTGGAACCTCCGCCTCCCGGGTTCAAGCAATTCTCCTGCCTCAGCCTCTCGAGTAGCTGGGATTACAGGCACCTGCCACCACTCCTGGCTGTTTTTTCCATTTTTAATAGAGACGGGGCTTCACCATATTGGCCATGCTGGTCTCAAACTCCTGACCTCAAGCGATCCGCCTGCCTTGGCCTTCCAAAGTGCTGGGATACAGGCATAAGCCATCGTGCCTGGCCAAGGCTACATTCTTAAACGCCACTTTTTACAGCTTCCAAGAAACTAACTGGGTGAAATCCAGCCTGCCTCCTGTCCTTGTTTTTATCATTTCATAGTGAAAACATAAACTCCCAAGCCCACCTACTCTATTGCACTGTGTCTCCATGACACTCTGTACCTTCTGGCTCTGACTCAGCCCTCCACTTTCCCCCTCCCTAACCTGCCTGTGCCCTCTAATAAACTGTAGCCCCCCTCATACCCTTAGCTTCTCCTTGGAGCATTCCCTCCACTTCCTGGCGTTAAGTGAAATTTAACTCTCCCTTGAGGGCACTACCTCCTTTGCAGGCTTCTGAAATGAGAGCTGTTGATTTTCTTACAGCTGAGGGTGCTCTCCTGGCTTCAGATTGCTGCCTCCGGACTACTCCTCCCCCAGCCCCCAACTCTAGTTTAAAATAACCCGCGGCCTTCCAGGCACTGCAATTAGGCTAAACTTTCCTCTTCCTTTCTCACTGCTACTGTCTGCCAGACCCCTCCACCTCACTCAGGGGAACGCTGGCCCAGCTGACCGTCTGTCTTTGCATTGAGTCCTCCCTCTGGGAGACTTCATTGTCCACCTGGAGGATCCATTCCCTACTTGACCTCTCAATAACCTGGCCACTTAATCCCCAAGAATCTTCTCCTCTCCAACTCGGCCACACATTCTCATTGTCATACCCTGGACCTTATCACCTGAAAGAGCCCCTCCTTGAGAATCAGTCAAGCAGCCTGCTCTTGGCCCCCACCTCCTAACCGTCTGTCCATCAGTCTGTCTGCCCTCCTCGCAACCAATTTTCAGTCTCCTAGGACCTTTGGATCAATGATGCCTTCCGTCTTCCAGCTTATGAGCCCCTCCCTATTCAGCTCAACTCCACAACCCTTCATTTCAACACCTCTCTGGACAATGTCGCCAACTCCCCTTCCCCTCTGTATTTTCATCCTTTGTACCCAAGTGGCAAAACCCCAACCCTGGATGAGCCCAGTGATCTGTTTTCTTCAGGATTTTACTCTGATAGCCAAGAACTGTTGGTGGTGGTGGGGGAAATCACACAATCAGGAAATGGTTCCCACTCCTCACTCATGATCATGAACTCTAAGGAGGCTCCCAGAATTGTTTAGTGGCCCAACCACATCACTCTGGTCAATGGCTACGTTAAACCTCCCTGATCCTTGAACCTCTGAGGCTCTTCTGTCTCTCACCTCATGCTCACTTGATGACCTCCCTCTTATGTCACAGAGAAAATGAAAGTCATCAGAGGTGAGCTCCCTCAACCATCTGTCACCAGATCCACACCCCTCCAAGAGGAACACAATGCATGCAGCGCATGTACCTTGATTTGATCCTGATTTGAAATATATGCATAGGCTGGATGCAGTGGCTCACGCCTGTAATTCCAGCACTTTGCTTGAGCTCAGGAGTTCAAGGCAGGTGGATTACTTAAGCTCAGGAGTTCAAGACCCACCTGGGCAACAGAGAAAAACCCTGTCTCTACAAAAAAAAAAAAATACAAAAATTAGTCAGGTGTGGTGGGTCACACCTAAATAGTAGTTCCAGCTACTTAGGAGGCTGAGGTGGGAGGATCACTTGAGCCTGGGAGGTGGAGGTTGTAGTGAGCTGTGATTGCACTGCTGCACTCTAGCCTGGGTGACAGTGAGACCCAGTCAAAAAAGAAAGAAGGAAAGGAAGGAAGGAAAGGGAGGAGAGAGAGAAAGGAAGGAAGGAAGGAAGGAAAAACAGAAGAAAGGAAGGAAAGAAATTAAAAAGAAAGATATATATATATATAAATATATATATAAAAGACATTTTGAGGCTAACTGGGGAATATTTGAGTATATTCTGCTATCAGATGAAGTGAAGAAATGATCGTTATTTTCTAATTTTGTTTTTTTTTTTGAGACTGAGTCTTGCTCTGTCACCAGGCTGGAGGTCAGTGGCGCAATCTCAGCTCACTGCAACCTGTCCCTACTGGGTTCAAGCAATTCTCCTGCCTCAGCCTCCCAAGTAGCTGGGATTATAGGTATGCACCACCACGCCCGGCTAATTTTTGTATTTTTAGTAGAGACGGGGTTTCACCATATTGGCCAGGATGGTCTCAATCTGTTGACCTTGTGATCCTCCTGCCTCAGCCTCCCAAAATGCTGGGATTACAGGTGTGAGCCACCGTGCCTGGCCATGATCATTATTTTCTTAGCTGTGATTACGTATTGTGGTTATGGAATCTCCTTATTTTTGGGAGATGCATGCTGAGGTACTTAGGTGTGAAGCACATGCTTTCCTATATTTTCATATGGTCCAAGAATGTTTTAGTAGTCACTCAACAATTTCTATGTTTAAAAAAAAAAAAAAGGGCTGGGCACAGTGGCTCATGCCCGTAATCAATCCGAGCACTTTGGGAGGCTGAGGCAGGCGGATCACCTGAGGTCGGAAGTTCAAGACCAGCCTGACCAACATGGAGAAACCCCATCTATAGTAAAAATACAAAATTAGCTTGGCGTGGTGGCGCATGCCTGTAATCACAGCTACTCGGGAGTCTGAGGCAGGAGAATTGCTTGAACCCAGTAGGCGGAGGTTGCGTACAGCCGAGATCGCGCCATTGCACTCCAGCTTGGGCAACAAGAGCGAAATTCCATCTCAAAACAAAAAACTAAAAACAAGCCCACAAAGACGTATATAGGCCTTGGCACTGTGGCTCATGTCTGTAATCCCAGAACTTTGGGAGGCCAAAGCAAGAGGATCACCTGAGTCCAGTTTGAGACCAGCTGGGCAACAAGGCGATACCTTGTCTCTACAAAAAATTTAAAAATTAGCCGGGCATGGTGCCATGCACCTGTGGCCCCAGTTACTTGAGAGGCTGAGGTGGGAGGATCGCTTGAGCCCAAAAGTTTGAAGCTGAGATGAGCTATGATCAGGTCACTGCACTCCACCCTGTGCGATGAAGTGAGACCCTGTCTTGGAAAAAAAAAAAAAGAACCATATATATATGTGTGTGTATATATATATGTTTGTATATATATAATATATAAATATTTGTATATATGTATAAATAACAATTGTTAAATCTAAGTAAAATGATCGACATACAAACAATATTGTATTATATTTTCAAGTTTTCTGTATGTTTGAAATTTTTCATAATAAAAAAACTGGGCAAAATTCTCTCACTTCCACTCACTGCTCGACCCTTTCAGGCTGGTGTTTATCTCTACCTTGCTGCTACTCAAATGTTTTTTTGCAATGAACTTTATGTCATTAAGTCCATTGTTTCGTTTTCTTCTTACTTGAACTGCCACTAGTAGCTGACGTTGCTGGCCAGTTCTTTCTTGAAACACTGTCGTTTTTTGGCCTCCAGGATTTGGCCTCTTCTGGCTTCCTCCCATCCCTCCATCGGCTGCTCTTCCACCCCTCAGCCGGCTCACTCCGCCTTTGACTGAAATCACCTGGTCATATTGGAGTTCATCAAGAGAGGTCGGTCCTGGACCCTCCTCTTCTTATGCTACCCTTTCCTTCTAGGGGATCACACCTGTCCTGTGGCTTCAGTTCCCATCAGCTGGTTACTCTCAAATTTATCTCTTGCCTCAAATCTCCAGATTTGACCACCTTCCTGCCTGGCATCCCTACTTGGATGTCCCAAAGGTATTACTAACTTAGCTTTTTTTTTTTTTTTTTTGGGAGACAGAGTTTCGCTCTTGTTGGCCAGGCTGGGGTGCAGTGGCAAGACCTTGGCTCACTGCAACCTCCGCCTCCTGGGTTCAAGTGATTCTCCTACCTCAGCCTCCGGAGTAGCTGGGATTACAGGCATCCGCCACGACACCCGGCAAACTTTTTGTATTTTCAGTAGAGATGGGGTTTCACCATGTTGGCCAGGCTGGTCTCAAACTCCTGACCTCAGGTGATCCACCTGCCTCAGCTTCCCAAAGTGCTGGGATTACAGGCATGAGCCACGGTGCCCAGCTTAACTTAGCATATTTGAAACAGAAGTCATGATCTTCCCACAGAAGCAGTATCATCCTCAGATCTGAACCACAGGGGCCCTGCCCTGGCCCACATACTTTAGGGGGATTCACCTATCACAAACAACTTATCACACACATTTATTACATGACACCTGGGCACCTCTGTCACTGATCTGCTGTCAGTGCTGGAACAGCACAACCTGAAATCTTACACATCTGCTCTTGTAATCAACGCCGTTCAAGCCCTGGGGAATGGTGACTTCTGTAATCTCTTGCCCTGTATCCTGGAAACAAAAGATGACTATAGCCAATTCTGTGAAAATCTGAGGTTGTGCCTCTGCCTGGATTCTGAAGCATGTACTGCTTTGGAGTGTAGGGAGGATTTAAGCAGTGGAAACATGTAAGTGAAATCACTTTAACCAGCTTGTTAAATATTACCTCTCAAATAGCATGACAAAGTATCATTTCCCAATAGTGTTGAGTGTGGTTTTTCTTGTTTCTCTTTGTTTTAGAGGTATGGATGTATGTTGTGCTGCATTTACAACAGTTGCAAAGGATAGCTGAGGAACATGTTGCTGTATTAAACAATCCTTATTACTGTTAAATTTATATGCATGTGGTGGGAGGGGTGGTGAGGGATAAAAAACTACACATTTACAGTGTACACTCCTCCTGTGATGGGGGCACCAAAATCTCAGAAATCACCACTAAATAACTTATTCATGTAACTGAACACCACCTGTTCCCCAAAAGCCTATTGAAAAAAAAATTGAATACATGTAGGTCTAGATATAACTCTTGTGAAGTATGATATTGATTCTCTATGTTGTAATAGATGGACATTGAATACGAGATTATGAATACAATCATCCTCAGTATTCACCAGGGATTGATTCCAAAACCCCCACTGATGTTCAAACCCCTTGTATAACATGGCATAGTATTTGCATATAACCTATGCACATTCTTCCACATACTTTAAATCATCCCTAGGTTATCTATGGTGCCTATCGCAATGTAAATGCTGTATAAATATATGTTATACTGTATTTTTTATTTGTATTATTTTTTCTTTCTTTCCTTCCTTCCTTCCTTCCTTCCTTCCTTCCTTCCTTCCTTCCTTCCTTCCTTCCTTCCTTTCTTTCTGACAGTCTTGCTGTGTCACCCAGGCTGGAGTGCTATGGCAGGATATCAGCTCACTGCAAACTCTGCCTCCCAGGTTCACGCCATTCTCCTACCTCAGCCTTCCAAGTAGCTGGGATTACAGGTGCCCGCCACCATGCCCGGCTAATTTTTTTGCATTTTTAGTAGAGATGGGGTTTCACCGCGTTAGCCAGGATGGTCTTGATCTCCTGACTTTGTGATCCACCCGCCTTGACCTCCCAAAGTGCTGGGATTACAGGCGTGAGCCACCGCGCCCGGACTGGCCATATATATTTTAAAAATATTTTTATTCTTCAGTTGGTTGAATCCATAGGTGTGGACCTACAGATACAAAATGCCAACTGTAGTTTAATTTTTATAAAACTATCTGTCTTAGTCCATTCAGACTGCTATAACAAAATACCTTACACTGAGCAATTTATAAATAATAAACACTGCTTACAGTTCTGGAGGCTAGAATGTCCAAGCAGGTGGTGCCAGCAGATTTGGTAGCCAGTGAGGGCACACTTTGCTTCATAGATGGCGCCTTCTTGCTGCATCTTCACGGGTGGAAGGGGCAAACAAGCTCCTTTGGGCCTCTTTTTTTTAAGACAGGGTCTCGCTGTGTCACCTAGGCTAGAGTGCAGTGGCGTGATCTCGGTTTACTGCAAGCTCTGCCTCCAGGGTTCAAGTGATTCTCTTGCCTCAGCCTCCTGAATAGCTGGGATTACAAATGCCTGCCACCATGACTGGCTAATTTTTGTGTTTTTAGTAGAGATGGGGTTTCTCCATGTTGACCAGGCTTGTCTTGAACTACCGACCTCAAATGATTAGCCCGCCTGAGCCTCCCAAAGTGCTAGGATTACAGGCATGAGCCACCGCACCCAGCCTGGGCTTCTTTTATAACGGCATTAATCCCATTCATGAGGACAGGCCCCTCATGACCTAATCACCTTCTAAAGGCCCCATCTCTTAATATCACCACATTGGGGATTAGGTTTCAATTTATGAATTTTAGGGGGGCACAAACATTTATGCCATAGCAATACATAATAAAAATTAATAAATATGTATATATTTTTTTGAGACAGGGTCTCACTCTGTCACCAGGCTGGAGTGCAGTGGCACAATCATGGCTCACTACAGCCTCAACCTCCCAGGCTCAGGCAATCCTTCTACCTCAGCCTCCAGAGTAGCTGAGGCCACATATGTGTGCCACCATGCCCGGCTAAGTTTTCTATTTTTTGTAGAGATGGCATTTCACCATGTTGCCCAGGGGGGTCTCAAAACACTGGGCTCAAGCAGTCTGCCCACCTTGACCTCCCAAAACACTGGGATTTCAGGTGTGAGCTACTGGGCCCAGCCCAAAATTTCAAAAAAAAGCAGGCAAAAAGTCAGCTTTATCTAAATGTGTTTGATTTAAAATATTGATGTGTATTCATTATCATTTATATTTTGTCCAGATGCCGTGTCTCATGGCTGAGATTCCAGCACTTTGGGAGGCTGAGGTGGGAGGATCACTCGAGCTCAGAAATTTGAGACCAGCCTGGACAACATAGTGAGACCATCTCTCTACAAAAACTAAAAAAATTAGCTGGGTGCGATGGCTCATGCCTGTAATCCCAGCACTTTGGGAGGCCAAGGCGGGTGGATCACTTGAGGTCAGGAGTTCGAGACCAGCCTGGCCAACATGGTTAAACCCCACGTCTACTAAAAATACAAAAAATTAGCAGAAGAATGCTTGAACCCATATGTATACATGTATATATACATATGTGTATGTGTATGTTTATATATATATGTATATGATACAAAATTAGCCAGGTGTGGCAGCACACACCTGTAGTCCCAGCTATTTGGGAGGCTGAGATGGGAGGATCACTTGGACCTGGGAGGTCAAAGCTGCAGTGAACTGGGATCATGGCACTGTACTCCAGCCTGGGTGACAACGTGAGATCCTGCCAAAAAAAAAAAGGAAAAATAAAAAGAGTGATTTTACAGAAAAATTGAGATTTTCAATTTATCACGGCAGTGCCAGCTCTGAATTCCTATGCGGCAACGCTGGACCAGGAGCTGCTGCCCCTCTAGGAGGGGAGGGTGCCCTCCAGCCTGTTATAGCCTTCCCTTGGCACTTGGCACATTACTTGCCTGGCCCTTACAGGAATTTGAGGTGCAAATTGATCTAGATCATTGAAGGAAGAGTCTGGGTCTTCTCAGTTTTGGGGCACTTTCGTTGCCAAGTAAGGTTCTTATGAGATTTTTAGAAGTTGAGATTAAAAAAGAGTTTATATGCAGCTGGAGGTGATACCTAACAACAACCATAATAACAGCATCAACAACAAAAACAGTAGCCTAGAGCAGTTACTCTAAGCCAGGTAAGTGTTCTAAAGCACTTCACACAACTTATTTACTCTCACGACAATGCTATTAGGTAGCACTTTGAATATACACATTTTGTAGGTGAGGAAATTGGGGCATGTAGCTGTTAAGATTTATATCAGCCGGGCGTGGTCACTCATGCCTGTTCCCAGCACTTTGGGAGGCCAAAGCGGGCGGATCACGAGGTCAGGAGTTTGAGACCAGCCTGACCAACATGGTGAAACCCCGTCTCTACTAAAAATACAAAAATTAGCTGGACATGGTGGCGGCTGCCTGTGATCCCAGCTATTCAGGAGGCTGAGGCAGGAGAATCGCTTTAATCTGGGAGGCGGAGGTTGCAGTGAGCTGAGATCATGCCACTGCGCTCCAGCCTGAGTGACAGTGAGACTCTGTCTCAAAAAAAAAAAAAAAAAAAAGATTTATACCAATTTATACCGTCCAATAGGAGGCGTGAGACTCAACACAGGGCGGAGGAGAGAATAGGTCAGGAAATCACATCTCTCCACCTGCACAGCCACCATCATTGTACCCTTCTAAAGAGACTGGCAACAACTTTCATTCAGCACTGTCCCATTGATTGGCTCATTTCATGATCACAGCAACCCAGTTAAGCAAATCCTCACCTTTGCATCGCCTGCTTTGTATCACTTTTCTTTAAAATTAAAAATAAAAAAAATGGATTACAAATTCGGTTAACGCCCATCCCATTTCTCTCCTTCCTTGTAGTAATTATCATTCTAAAGTTGTTGGGAATTATTCCCATGCGTACTTTGCACTTTTAAAAAATGTTTGCTTTCCTAAACATATACCACTGTTTTGTGTATTTTAAAACTCACACAAATAATATCATACAACATCCATTTTTGCAAGTTTCTTACTCATTACATTGCTAAATATGTCTATAATTCATTTAACTGCCGTATAGTATCCCATTATAAGAACAAACCATACTTTATTTATCCATTTTACTTAACAACAGTTAGCTTATTTCCACTTCTTCTTGACAATTAACTGATACTGCAATGACCATTTTTATCCTCGCCTTTTTGTGCATGTGTAGAAATGTTTTTCTAAGGAATAGATCTAGAAGCAAGATTGCTGGGTCATAGGGAATATTCATTTTCAGCATTAACTGGTGCCAAAATTCTCTTCAAATTTGTTGTATCTGTTTACACTTCAACACAAAATATATGCATTCCTATTGTCCCACATTTTTGTCAACAGTGTTAGAATAATTTTAATTTTGGTGATTTTGTGGGTGTAAAATGGTAACTCGCGCTGTGATTTGCATTTCTACATTACTGGTTAAATTGAGCATCTTTTCTTATGTTTATTGACCATTAGGTTTCTCTTTTGTGACTCACCTATTCACAGCTTTTGCTCATATTCTCTTGCGTTGTCCTTTTCATATGGATCTGCAACTTCTTTATGAATCCTGGATATAATCCTTTGTTGTTTATGTAGATTGTGAATATTCTCTAAGTCTGTGGCTTGTCTTTTACTTTACGTGATTTCTTTTTTTTTTTTTTTTGAGACGGAATCCTGCTCTGTCGCCCAGGCTGGAGTGCAGTGGCACAATCTCGGCTCGCTGCAAGCTCCGCCTCATGGGTTCACGCCATTCTCCTACCTAAGCCTCCCGAGTAGCTGGGACTACAGGCACCCACTACCACGTCCAGCTAATTTTTTTGTATTTTTGGTAGAGACGGGGTTTCACCATGTTGGCCAGGATGGTCTCAATCTCCTGACCTTGTGATCCACCCGCCTTGGCCTCCCAAAGTGCTGGGATTACAGGCTTGAGCCATCGCGCCCGGCCTATGTGATTTCTTATAAAAGCTTAAAAATGTTTTAACGTGGTCATATGTATCAATATTTTCCTTTATTGCTTGTGCATTTATTTATAGTCGACAAATAAAAATTGTATCTATGGTGTAACAACATGATGTGTGTATATATATGTGTGTGTGTGTGTGTGTGTAATGGCTAGAGTAATTACTGTATCTGTTATCTCACATACTATCATTTTAAACGTGATATTTGAAATGTACTCTCCTAGCAATTATTTTTATTTTTATTTTTTTTTTGAGACAGGATCTTGCTCTGTCGCCCAGGCTAGAGTGCAGTGGCAAGATTATAGCTCACTGCAGCCTGGACCTCCCAGGCTCAAGTGATTTTCTCTTCTCAGCCTCCCAAGTAGCTGGGACTACTGGCACGTGCCACCACATCCTGCTAATTTTTTCAATTTTTTGTAGAGACAGGGTCTCACTATGTTACCTAGGCTAGTCTTGAATTCTTGGGGTCAAGCAATCAAGCAATCGGCATCCCGAAATGCTAGGATTACAGGCATGAGCCACTGCGCCCAGCTAATTTTTGTATTTTTTTTAGAGATGGGGTCTCACCATGTTGCCCAAGCTGGTGTCGAACTGGTCTCAAGCGATCCACCCACCTCAGCCTCCCAAAGTGCTGGGTTTACAGACATAAGCCACTGCAGCTGGCCAGCAATTTTCAAGTATACAATACATTGTTATTAACTCTAGTCATCATGTTATACAATAGATCTCCTGAATTTATTCTACCTAACTGAAATTTTGTATCCTTTGACTAAAGCTCTCCAATCCCTGCCCACACCCGCCCCCCGCCCCCTAGCCCCTGTGCAGCCACCATTCTATTCTCTGCTTCTGCAATTTTATTTTATTTATTTATTTTTTTAAATTTATTTTGAGACAGGGTCTCACTCTGTTGTCTGGGTTGGAGTCCAGAGGTCTGATCACAGCTCACTGCAGCCTCAAACTCTTGGATTCAAGAGATCCTCCTGCCTCAGCCTCCCGAGTAGTTGGGACTACAGGCACGTGCCACCATGCCTGGCTGAGTTTGACTCTTTAGGTTCCACATGTAAATGAAATCATGGTATTTGTCTTTCTGTGCCTGGTTTATTTCATTTAGCATAATATCCTCTAGTTTTATCCATGTTGTCACAGATGACAGAATTTCCTTCTTTTTAAAGACTGAATAGTATTCCATTGTGTATATGTTCCATAATCTCTCTATTTATTCATTGATGGACACTTAGGTTGTTTCCATGTCTTGGCTATTGTGAATAATGGTGCAGTGAACTTGGGAATACAGATATCTCTTCAACATACTGAGTTCATTTCTTTTGAAATATACCTGATAATGGAACTACTGGATCACATGGTAGTTTTAATTTTTTGAGGAAGCTCCATTCTGTTTTCCAAAATAGGTGTACAAATTTACATTCCTACCAACAGTTTGTGAGGGTTCCTTTTTCTCCACATCCTTGCCACCACTTGTAATCTCTTGGTTTATTTTTATTTTTTTTATCAGAGCCATCTTAGCAGGTATGAGGTGATATCTCACTGTGGTTTAAATGTTCATTTCCTTGATAATTAGCAATATTGAGCATTTGTTTTTCATATACCTGTTGGCCATTTATGTGTCTTCTTTTGAGAAATGTTTTTTCAGATCATTTGCCCATTGTAAAATCAGATTTTTGGCTGGATGCAGTGGCTTATGTTTGTAATTCCAGCACTTTGGGAGGCCAAGGCAGGAGGATCACTTGAGCCTAGGAGTTCAAGATAAATCTGGGCAACATAGGGAAACCCTGTCTCTACAAAAAAATTTTAAAAATTAGCAGGGCACGGTGGGGTGTGCCTGTGGTCCCAGCTACTTGGGAAGCTGAGGTGGGAGGATTGCTTGAGCCTGGGAGTTGAAGGCTGCAGTGAGTTATTATTGCGGCACTGTATTCCAGCCTGAGCAACAGGGTGAGACCCCAACTTAAAGAAAAAAAATCAGATTTTTGGTTTTCAACAACTCTTGCTATTAAGTTTCTTATAAAAATATTCACCCCTTATCAGATGTATAGTTTACAAATATTTTGTCCCTTTCCGTAGGTTGTCTGTTGATTGTTTCCTTTGCTGTTCAGAAGCTTTCATTTGATGCAATCTCATTTGTCCAAAAAAATTATTGCCCAGACCAATGTCAAGAAGCCAAGATCATGCCACTGCACTCCAGCCCAGCAACAGAGCGAGACTCCATCTCAAAAAAAAGATCTGAAATTGTAAAAATACTAGAAGAAAATATAGGAGAAAAGCAATTCTCCTGCCTCAGCCTCCTGAGTGGCTGGGACTACAGGTGTGCACCACCACACCCAGCTGATTTTTGTATTTTTAGTAGAGATGGGGCTTCACCATGTTGGCCAGGATGGTCTCAATCTCTTGATCTTATGATCCACCTGCCTTGGCCTCCCAAAGTGCTGGGATTATAGGTGTAAGCCACCGCACCCCGCCATTTCAGATCTTATGTTTAAGTCTTTAATTCATTTTGAGTAGTTTTTTTTTTTTTTTTTTTTTTTTTTTTGGAGGCAGTCTCTCTCTGTTCTTCAGGCTGGAGTGCAGTGGTGTGGTCTTGGCAACCTCTGCCTCCCAGATTCAAGTAATTCTTGTGCCTTAGCCTCCTGAGTAGCTGGGACTATAGGTGTGTGCCACCACCCCTGGCTAATTTTTGTGTTTTTGGTAGGTTTCACCATGTTGGCCAGGCTGGTTTCGAACTCCTGGCCTCAAGTAACCCATTGGCCTTAGCCTCCCAAAGTGCTGGGATTACAGATGTGAGCCACTATGCCTGGCCTGAGTTGATTTTTGTATATGAGGTGAGATATGGTCAAATTTTATTCTTCTACATGTGGATATCCAGTTTCCCCAGGACTGTTTATTGAGGAGACTGGTCCTTTCCCCATTGTATGTTCTTGGCATATTTGTAAAGGATCAGTTGGCCATAAAATGTGTGGATTTATTTTTGGCCTCTATTCTGGTCTTATATGTCTGTTTTTGTTCCAGAACCATGCTGTTTTTATTACTATAGCTTTGTGGCAGCTTCTGAAATTAGGTAGTGTGATGGCTCTAGCTTTGTTCCTTTTGTTCAAGATTGCTTTGGCCATTTTGGTCCTTGTCTTTTGTGGTTCCATATGAATCTTAGGATTTTTTTTCTATTTCTGTGAAAATGTCATTGGAATTTTGATAGAGGTTGGATGGAATCTACAGTTTGGGGTAGTGTGGACATTTTAACAATATTAATCTTTCCAATCCATTAACATGGAATATCTTTCCATTTATTTGTGTCTTTAATTTCTTTCTTCAATGCTTTATGGTTTTCAGTGTACAGATTTCTCACCTCTTTGATTAAATTTATTCCTAAGTATATATTTTTGATGCTATTATAAATGTGATTGCTTTCTTGATTTCTTTTTTGGTTGGTGCATTATTAGTATACAGTAATGCTACTGACTTTTGAATATTGATTTTGTATCCTGCAACTTTACTGAATTTATTAGTTCTAATAGTTTTTTTGGTGGTATCTTTAGGGATTTCTCTATATAAGATCATGTCATCTACAAAGTGACAATTTAACTTCTTTCTTTCCAATTTGGATGCCTAGGGAGCATCAGTGGCTCAAGCCAGCTGTCCTGGTGCACAGGGAGGCGAGGCTATGAGTTCGAGGCCAACCTGGTCAACATTGACCAATTTGGATGTCTTGTATTTCTTTCTCTTGCCTATCTGTTCTGACTAGAACTTCTAGTACTATATTGAATAGAAATGGTGAGAATGGTTATCCTTGTCTTGTTCCTGATCTTAGAGGAAAATCTTTTAACTTTTCATGATTATGTATGATGTTAGCTGTGGGTTTGTCATATATGGGCTTTATTGTGTTGAGATACACTTTTTCTATACCTAATTTGCTAAGAATTTGTATCATGAAAGGATGTTAAATTTTGTCAAACGCCTTTCCCCCATCTATTGATATAATCATATAGTGTTCTTCATTTTGTTAACTGCTTGTACTTTTGTACTTTTAAAATTTTGTATAAGAAATCCTTCTCTATTCTGATATCATCAATATGTGATCTTATATTTTCTTTGAATAGTTTTCAGTTTTGCTTTTTACTCTAGCTACCTGAAATTTACTTCTGGGTAGGATGTAATGTAGAATTTATTTTTTGTGTGTTTGTTTGGATAGCCAGTTAACTCAAAACCATTGAACTTTCCCACTGATTTATGTCACTTCCATTATAGCCAAGTCTCATATCTTTGAGGGTCTGTATTAGTCCATTCTTGCACTGCTATAGATAAATACCTGAAATCAGGTAATTTATAAAGTTTAATTGGCTCATAGTTCCACAGGCTGTATAGGAAGCATGGCTGGGGAGGCCTCAGGAAACTTACAATCATGGTGGAAGGTGAAAGGGAAGCAGGCATGTCTTACGTGGCTGGAGCAGGAGGAAGAGAGGGAAGAGGTGCCACACGCTTTTTTTTTTTTTTTTTTTGAGACAGAGTCTTGCTCTGTTACCCAGGCTGGAATGCAGTGGCACAATCTCAGTTCACTGTAACCTCCACCCTCTGGGCTCAAGCGATCCTCCCACCTCAGCCTCCTGAGTAGCTGGGACCACAGGCATGCATCACCATGCTCGGCTACTATTTTTGTATTTTTGTAGAGATGATGTCTCAGCATGTTGTCCAGGCTGGTCTTGACCTCCTGAGCTCAAGTGATCCTCCTGCCTCAGCCTCCCAAAGTGCTGGGATTATAGGCAAGAGCCACTGCACCTGGCCTCCACACACTTTTAAACAACCGGGTCTCATGATAACTTACTATCATGAGAACTGCACCCAGTGGGAAATCCATTTCCATGATCCAATCACCTCCCACCAGACCCCATCTCCAACAAAGGGGATTACAATTCGACATGAGATTTGGAGAGGGAGGGACACAGATCCAAACCCTATTAGGATCTGATTCAAAAAAGTTTTGTTCTGTACTGTGGTCTATTTATGTGTGCATATACCAGGACTAGACTGTTTTAATCACTCTAAGTTTCAACCAGTAAACTTGTGACATATGGTTAGGCAAGGGATCTCATATTCTTCTGCTTCAAGTTTTGTTTTTTCTTGGCCATTTACTCTTCCATAAGAATTTTAAGGCCGGGTGTGGTGGCTCATGCCTATAATCCCAGCACTTGAGGAGGCCGAGGCGGGCAGATCACGAGGTCAGGAATTCAAGACCAGCCTGACCAACATGGTGAAACCCCGTCTGTACTAAAAATACAAAAAAATTAGCCGGGCGTGGTGGTGCGCACCTGTAGTCCCAGCTACTCAGGAGGCTGAGCCAGGAGAATCACTTGAACCTGGGAGGTGGAGCTTGCAGTGAGCCGAGATCGCGCCATTGCATTCCAGCCTCGGTAACAGAGTGAGACTCCGTCTCAAAAAAAAAAAGAATTTTAAGAACAGTCTGTCAAGTTCCATAAAATATCTGATTGGAGTTTTGCTTAGAATTGTACTGAATTTTTAGATTTGAGAAAAATTATCAGCTTTATATCAAACTTCCGTCTTTGTGAGTAGGGGATCTCTTCCTATTCTTTTATATCTTCTTTATGTTCTCTAATAAAACTTTATAATTTTCTCCATAAATATCATACACAGACTTTGTTATATTTATTCCTAAGTATCTTATGATTTTTGTTATGACAAATGGTATTTTCTTTTCTTTTTTTTTTTTTTTGAGACGGAGTCTCGCTCTGTCGCCCAGGCTGGAGTGCAGTGGCGCAATCTCGGCTCACTGCAAGCTCCGCCTACTGAGTTCACGCCATTCTCCTTCCTCAACCTCCCCAGTTGCTGGGACTACAGGTGCCTGCCAACTCGCCCAGCTAATTTTTTGTATTTTTAGTAGAGACGGGGTTTCACTGTATTAGCCAGGACGGTCTCGATCTGCTGACCTCATGATCCGCCTGCCTTGGCCTCCGGAAGAGCTGGGATTACAGGCGTGAGCCACGATGCCTGGCCTAAAATGAAATCTTTTATCTGTTTATTGCTGTGGTGTAAGGATATTGATGTTTGTGTATTCTCCTTGCCCCCGGCAAGGAAATTGTTATTTCTAATAGTTGGTAGGTTCTTGTGAATTTTCTTTGTATAGTAAGCAATCTATGTATAGTAATTGTCTATGTATAGTGATGGCTTTATTTCTTCTTTTTCTTCTTGTGTCACTTCAGACTTCTTGGCAGAAAGGTGAATAGAAACAGTAAAAACTGGTATCCTTGTCTTGACTTTGGAAGTTACTTTCTATTCCTAGTTAGCTAGATTAAAAAGATTAAAAAAGAAATAGACAGGTTCTCACTATACAGTGGTTATTCACAGCCTCAATCATAGAGCACTACAGCCTCAAACTCCCAGGTTCAACGAACCTTACCACCTTAGCCTCCCAAGTAGCTGGGACTACAGGCACAAGCCACCACACCTGGCTAATTTTTAAATATTTTGTAGTTCACTACAGCACTATTCACAATAGCAAAGACATGGCGTCAACCCAAATGCCTATCAATGAAAGACTAGGTAAAGAAAATGTAGTATGCAGCCAGGCGTGGTGGCTCACACTTGTAATCCCAGCACTTAGGAAGCCTGAGGCAGGTGGATCAGGAGTTCGAGACCAGCCTGACCGACATAGTGAAACCCTGTCTCTACTAAAAATACAAAAAAATTAGCCAGGTGTGGTGGCAAATGCCTGTAATCCTAGCTACTCAGGAGGCTGAGGCAGGAGAATTTCTTGAACCCGGGAGGCAGAGGTTGCAGTGAGCTGAGATTGTGCCAATGCGCTCCAGCCTGGGTGACAGAGTGAGACTCTATCTCAAAAAAAAAAAAAAAAAAAAAAAAATGCCGGGCACGATGGCTCATACCTGTAATCCCAGAACTTTGGGAGGCCGAGGTGGGCAGATCACAAGGTCAGAAGTTCACGACCAGCCTGGCCAACATGGTGAAATCCTGTCTCTACTAAAAATACAAAAATTAACAGGGTGTGGTGGCACTCGCCTATAGTCCCAGCTACTTGGGAGGCTGAGGCAGAAGAATCGCTTGAACCCAGGAGGCAGAGGTTGCAGTGAGCCGAGATTGTGCCACTGCTCTCCAGCCTGGGTGACAGAGCAAGACACCACCTTAAAAAAAAGAAAAAAGAAAATGTAGTATGCGTACACCATGGAATACTATGCAGCCATAAAAGGGAATGAGATCATGTCCTTTACAGGGATGTGGATGGAACTGGAAGCCACTATCTTCAGCAAACTAACACAGGAACAGAAAACCAAACACCACATGTTCTCACTTATAAGTGGGAGCTGAACGATGAAAACACCTGGACACATGTGGGTGGGGGGAACAATAACCCACTGAAGTCTGTCAGAAGGGGAAGTGGCAGGAGGGAGAGCATCAGGAAGAATAGCTAATGGATACCGGGTTTAATACCTAGGTGATGGGTTGACAGGTGCAGCAAACCATCATAGCACATGTTCACCTATGTAACAAACCTGCACATCCTGCACTTGTACTCCGGAACTTAAAATAAAAGTTGAAAAAATATTTTGTAGAGACGAAGTCTCACTATGTTGCCCAGGCTGGTCTTGAACTTCTGAGCTCAAGCAATCCTCTTGCCTTGGCCTCCCAAAATTCTGGGATTTTAGCAGTGAGCCACTGCACCTGGCCTCCAGTTCTGGATCCTGGGTCTTGCGACATTATTCCATGCTGGCTTCTGAAGTCAATGAGGCAAAACCAGAAAGGGGAACTAAAAAGTTAAAGAGGGAGAGGGTCTCACAGGCAAGATGGAGGAAGCCTGGGATGAAGGCAGGGCTGTGGACCTGAATGATGCCAGGAATTAAGGAGGAAGTAACAGTGTTAGGTAATAGCACATGGGATTCTTGGGCTGCAGCTACAGGAGGGAGAATCATGGCCTTAATTCATCACCTCTGAAATCCTGAAATATCTAGCCTCCTGCCCAGATCCTGCCATGAATGCATCTATTCAACCACTATTTATAAAGTATCCAGTGTTAGGTCCAGGGAGTGGCAAGAGTGAGCATCTGCAGTCATAGTCCCTGCCCTCAGGGAGCTTACATTCAATGGGGCAGACAGACATCAGTCTGTACATAATCATCAACAAATGTAGAACTCCAACAGGGCCAAGTGCCTCTGAGGAAAGGTACACCTTAGTGTGAGCGCTCATAACAGGAGAATTTGACCCTGAAAAGAAGGTCAGGAAGGCTTCCCTGAGGCTATTGAGAAGGTGAGGCCTGAAGAATGAAGAGGAGCTAAGAGGAGAGGAACAGAGGAAGGAGCCTTTCCACAGAGGGTCCAGCCTCCCTGGAGACTCTGTGCAGGAGGAAGCACAAGGTGGACAGCAACTGGAGCACACGAGTGAGGGGGTGTGGTGGGAGATGAGGCTGGAGAGGAGGGGCCACCCCTTGCAGGGCCTTAGAGGTCAGGTTAAGGACTTGGGTCTTTAACCTAAGATCAATGGAAAACCACTGAATAGGTTTAAGGAGGCTGACTGAAACAATCAGATTTGCATTTTTAAAGGATCCCTCTTAGGTGTGTGTCATACTGTAGAGAAGGCCATTCCCAGCCTCTTCAGCTACTGCAATGACTCAGAGAAGGCCACATGGTCCACATGGTGGCTAGCCCAGGGATGTGGAGGGATGAAAACGAGTGGACAGACTTGAGATATATTAGAGCAGATAAAATGGATAGGACTAGGTGCTGGATTCAATATTGAGATGCTCATTCTAAACCGCCCCTACATCAAATCCTTCGAAGGCAGGGGCTATGCCACATGACTATGATACCCAGGTCCCAGAACAACTCCTGACACATGGTAGACTCAATACACATTTCCCGAAAGGGTGGAAATGATTAGCAGTCTCTCAAGTAATCCTTTGACCACTAAGCGTATTTAATTTCTTCTAGCATGTGTCAGTAATCAACCTCCTTGGTACATCATAGGGAGAAATATTGCCGAGTTCCAAAGAGTATACTCTGGGGCAAGTTAATACAAGAATAAGGTCTCACTTACCCTATAACATGAAGAGTAACAGTAAACTCGTAAGAACAGGACCTGGTGAAGCAAGGAGTAGGCACAGGAAGATGGCTCATCAAATAGGGGCGCCGGGTGTAGTGTGAACACCTGAGGCAGGAAGAACCCAGTAGCCTCTGGGGGTTGGGTGGGATTAGTTGGGGGACTAGGATTTGATGGTAGGGGGTTGTCCTGGAGATCTCTGGAAATTAAGTTATCTATTTTTTTTCTGTTTTTATTTTTATAAAAGAACTCTTAAGGGCATTTTTTTCTTTGTTTGTTCTGTTTTGAGATAGAGGTTCACTCTGTCGCCCAGGCTGGAGTGCAGTGGCGTGATCTCGGCCACTGCAAACTCCGCCTCCCAGGTTCAAGTGATTCTCATGCCTTAACCTCCTGAGTAGCTGGGATTACAGGCATGGGCCACCACGCCTTGCTAATTTTTGTGTTTTTTGTATAGCCAGGGTTTTGCCAGGTTTGGTCAGGCTGGTCTTGAACTCCTGGCCTCAAGTAATCCACCTACCTTGGCTTCCCACAGTGTTGGAATTACAGCCATGAGCCATCATGCCCAGCCTAAGCTATCACTTTAAAATGACCCTTCAAGAAAGTCCCAAGGAGTCTAATCCATCCACGACAACAGCACGTCTGAGACAGCCTAGTGAAATTTCTCCGATGGAGGACAGGAGATGGAAAAGTGCCCCAGGACCTCTTATTTATATAAAAAACAAAATTTTTTAAGACCCTGAGAAGTATGGATTCTTCTCCAGAGAAAAGTTCCTGGCTTGGGAGCTCCCTTAGGACTTGGCACTTTGGTCTAGAGTGAAGTGGACCTGGCCATTCCAGCTTTGAGTGGGTTCAGGCGAGACACTCGAGCTACCCCTTATGGTTGCTCTGAAGGTCACCCTGGCTGGGAGTGGGTGGATCTCTGCTCTGTTATGCCTCCCACAGGTGGAGGAAGTCTGTCTCTGAGGCTGCCCTGCCACCCTCATAGAGCGCTGCAGATTGGGGGCGGTGATGCAGCCACAGGGGCTCTGATTCCCTGCCTCCCCACTGTGTTCATCTCATTCCTCTCCACATATGAGGCCTGGTGTCATGGCAGGTGGGTGTTCCAAGTGAAACCACAGCCACAGAGGCAAGCAGTAGAGCCTGTCCCTGATGTGGCCCTGGTGATGCTGCACCAGCCTGGGGCTGTATCAGAAACCATGCCTGCAGCCTTTGCTTCTGCAGACTTGCTGGTGCTGCACCAGCCCTGAGCAATGTCCATAGCCCTTGCCTCACTGGTCACTGTGATGGGGACGCCCCCAGGTATGGTTCTGCTGCTGGTGTTGCAGGTTGGAGTGGGGGCCAGCACCCTCATCTACCACAAGAAGGCTTAGGTGGCACAGACGTAAGGCTGCTTGCCTGTGTGTAGAGTGGCAGGCTGCAACGGGCTGGAGCCTTGGGGAGAGGCCCTTGCCACGCTGGTGGCAGTGATTGGGTTCAGGCAGGTGTGTGCCGCAGTGCTGGGCCAGGTGTGAGCTGTGGCAAGAGCTGTGGCCACACTTTCTGCAGGAGTAGGGCCTATCACCTGTGTGAAAGTGTTCGCACAGGGTCAGGTGGGCCCCTTGGCTGAAGTACTTCCTATATTAGGGGGAGGAGAAGGGCCCCTTGCCCAGGCTGTGCTGAGAGAGGTGAGAGCAGTGGGAAGAGACTCCACATTCCAGGCAGGAAATTTGAGTGGATTTGTGGGTGGAGATGGGGGTCCCGGGTAGGGGAGTTGGGGAAGGGTTGGTTGTGACAGCTGGCAGGTAAAGGAGTGCCATAGTAGGTAGAGGGCTGGGTCTGTCCTCTCTTCTCCTCCTCCTCTCCCTTTGCTCCCAGCCTGCAGGGAGAGGGGAGAGAGGTGAGAGCAGCATGGGGGAGGAGGAAGCAGAGGAGACAGAGGTGGGAGAGGAGAGGCTATGCCCCACACCCAACTGAAGAAGTGGTTGGCGGTTTCAGCGGCACCTCCCTCCTCGCTGAGGTGGACTGTGAAGGTGGAGAAGCCCAGAGCACAGCCTCCTGTGAGCAGCTTCCCAGGGTGTTGAGGGCTGCCAGGCAAGGACAGGGCCCTCAGAGTTAGGCCTTGCCTGGGCAGGGGTCTCCTGGGGGAACCTTCCCTCAGGGCCCTGAGGCTCTGGGCTCCAGAGCTCAGCTTCCGCGTTCAGATACATGGTCTGCTCTGCTTTGGAGACTGAGAAGCCTGAGAGGTAAAATCGTGCTGGGTGGTAGGTAGGGTAAGGGAGAGGGAGCTTCCCCCCATCTCCCTCACCCACTGCAGAAAGGCTTCTCTGTTTCCTTCCCCAGCCCAGTCCCACCTCCTCTGTGAGGCCGCTCCTCACCTCCCTACTGGCCTGCAGTGATCCTCCTGCTTGGGAGTCACAGAGCACCCCTACACGGGCCCTTTGCCATTCTTTATAGTATAAGGCAAGGCCGTAACATTTTGTGGGGCATCTTCTTCAGTGTCCTCAGCCTTGTGTGAACATCAGAAGCACTTGGGGGCTTGGGAAAATGCAATTGCTGGCCCCATCTCCAGTTTCTTAAACAGCAGATCTGGGGTGGGGCCCAAGAATTTGCATTTCTAACAAGTTCCCAGGCGATGCTGATGCTGCTAGTCTGGGATCCACACTGGGAGAGCCACTGATCTGTTAGGCGTGTAACTTTACTTGTATTATCTCTCAATTCTCAGGGCAACCTGTTACTCTCCCCCATTTTGCAGGTGAAGAAACAGAGGGAAGACCCAGTGCCTTGTGCAAGGTGGCTCAGTTTGTAAGTGGCAGAGCCGATTTGAACCCACGTTTGTCTGACTCTAATACTGTATCAACCCTCCTTCCTCTACCCTGTTCCTCTGCATTGTCAACTATTCCACATGTATCTTGTTCCTCAACAAAATAGTAACGTTTTCTTTTGCATACTTTATATCTCTCACCTTGCCTGACCCAGTAACATAGGCTTGGTTGGGAGGGACTGAAGGACTTGGAAAGGAAATGCCCCAGTGGAGCCAGGATGGAAATGGGTTCCTCTGTGTCTCCCACATGGTGTCACCTAAATAAACAGCCATGTCTGTGAGGTTCAGTCATGGGGAGAGGAGGGCAAGAGAGCACTCGCACCAAGCGATGGGGTTAGGGGGACACGAAAGGAAATGTGATAAATAGAGAGGGGGGCGTGTGGGGCGAAGGTGAGGACTGGGGACCCGGGAGGGGGCAGGCTGTTTCAGAGTGAAGGCAGGACGGGCAGCAGAGACAGAGAAGAGGCTGCCGGGTGGTTAGGGCTGGGGAGGACAAGGAGGGTGAGGACAGACGATCCCGGCAGCCCCTGGAGCCAGAAGAGAAGTCAGGTTAACTCCAGACTTTTGGCTTCCACCTCTGTATCTCACCCAACTCCTCCCCACCTGCTTCTCTACCCTGAAACTCCAGGAACAACGCCCACCTGCCTCCCACTACAACTTCCCCTTATACCGTACACGTCCTGGATGCTTGGGGTCCGGGAGGAGGGGAGTCAGGATCACGGGTTCCAGGGAAGTGAGTGTAGAAAGGGGCTCCTACGAGGGTAGAAGTGGGTGTTGTCTGCTTCTGCAGGAAAGGGGCCAGCCAGCCCAACTGGTCCGCAGTACTTGCTGGGGCTGGAGGATGCCCACCTGCATCTACGGGATTGAGGGTACCGGAGAGGAGGCGAACAAACGAGAAATCCCAAGGGTGGAGAAGGGAGCCATGGGATCGGCGGGCGGGCCGCGCAGCTGCGGAACTGGGAGGGCCAAGCGGGCTTTAGGGGGAAACACGGCCGGCTCCTCTGCCAGTGAGACAGAGAACTGAGCATGGGGGAGGAATTTGGGGCCAGAGGGGCTGGGGGTACCCAGAGCAGAGGAAACAGGAAGTGAGGGGCAGAGAGGTTACGGGTGGTGGAAGGAACAGCAGTCGGTTCTGGAGAGGCGATTCCTCTTCCCCGAATACCTGCACTGCCCCGGACCGGGAGTGCAGTCGTGCGCCCCTGTCCCCCCAGCCTCAGGCTTGGTGCCCAGCCCCGCTCGCGGAACTCGAGGCCAGTAAGGCAGCCGCGGCTTTCCTTGATGCCCCCACTCCTCTGCTCTCAGCCGCTGCCTGGACGAGCACAGAACTAGTGTTCCCAGGCGACCCTCCCTCCGCTCAGCCCCGCTGCCCGGCGGGCAAAGGCTGTGCACTCACACTCCGAGTCTGCAGCCCAGCCTGCCCTTTTTTGGGAGGTGGCCCGGGGACTGGGATGTCGAACAGGGAGCTTCTCCGCAGTCCTCTCCACCTCCCTCCCTCTTTCCAGCTATAGAAACCGGCTGCTCGCAGTGACTTCCAAACATCACGGTCATTCCCACATCTACACACATCCCTTTCTCTTTTGAGCCATTTTCCTGCTTTCCCTTTGGTGTTGAAACCCTGGATTTCAGCCTGGGCGACTCAGGTTTTAGGGGGGAAAGTTTGGGGTCTAACTTGGCACCTCTGTTTTTTATCCTCTCTTCCAGCTTCATAGATGGTTCCTATTTTCATACATATTTGCTAATTTGGAGTTTCCGACGACATATCTCGAATAACCCGACATTTTCTCCCCATTTCCAAGGCTGATTTTACATTATTTCTAGGCCTCCCTCCCCAATCTATTTTCCTTTCTTTTTCTTGTACACCCCTGATAAACAGACACACAGAACTGCAGGTTTCAAAGAGGAAAAAAGCACGTTTGTTGTTGGTAGGCGGGCGTGAATGGGAGGGTTCTTCACCTTCTCCAACACCTCGTATAGATGGGACGTTGCAGGGCAATAGAAAAGGCAGCAGATGGGGGCGTGTTTTGCCCCACTCTGTACAATATAGAAGAATCTCATATAGATACTTTGTATAAAAGCCACGTGTCCTCATTTGTGTCCTCTTATTGGCTGGCTGGGCTGGGGGTACTGGGGGACAAAGAAGCTGGGGTGATAGACCAGGACACAGGGATACCCCATGGTCCCCTTCCTCTGGCTGTCCCCTGGTGGGGTCACTTTGGATCCTTGGTGGGAGCATAGCACAGCTCCAGTGGCCGGGACACCTTCCAGAATTTCTCATTCACCAGCTCCAGGGTCAGCGAGCCATTCAACGTCTGAGGAGGGGGTAAAAGGGAGAGAGGGGAAAAGAGAGAGGAAAGTTGGAGAAGATGGAAAAGGAAATGAATGAGAGGCAAAAGGTGACCAAGGGAGGAGGAAAGAAAAAAGGAATAATAAAAGCGATAAGGCAAAAAAGGACATGGATGATGGGAAAGGAGAGGGGACATAGAAAGAGATAGAGGATGTATAGGGGAAGAGTGCTGATGAGTTAGACCAGGCTCATGGTTCTATGTGGCCCAGACCACCCTCCCTCCTCTCCCCTCTTCTACCACTGCCCTCAGAAGCTCTCACCGTGAACGCCCCGCCTCCAGGTGCGATGTAGATGGTGTACTGCTTTTCACTGACGCCCTCCAGGCTGGGCAAAGCAGGCTCCTCAGGACCATCACCTCCTCCGGCACCCCCACCCTCCCCGCCACACCCATCAGGTCCTCCGGTGTCAGAGGCGCCCCCTCCAGGCCCTCCTGGCTCCCCTGCTTCCTGCTGTTGCCTCCGCTCGAGGGCAATGCGCAGGGCCAAGTACTTGGAGAGGTGGTCCACTGTGGCATTCCCAGTTGTCTTCACATACCTGGAATGGGAGGGAGGACAGGCTTAGAGCCAGAGCGCCTCAGATGAGGACTGGAGGTAGGGGCTTTCCAAAATGGATTCTGGGTTGGGGTGGTATTTTGGGTTTGGGCAAAGCCCACTTCTGATGGAAATCTAGGTGATCTTTGGTTTCTCAGTGGCTGGGGAAAGACAGGGCTCCTCACCTCGTCTGGCAGTATTCTCCCTTCTCCACGAGCAGGGGGTGGGGCCGGAACACGAGCTCAATTTCTCCACCTGGCTCTGGGGGGCTGGGGGCCCCAGGAGGGCTTGGGGGGCCCAGCGTTCCCCCTCCCAGAGTCCCTCCCCGGTCACCAGAGTCTTCCGAACCGGCACCCCCACCCACCCCACCAGTGCCGCCTCCCCCTGTCCCTACACTGCTCCCCCCTGCGCCCCCTCCACGGGGTCGCTTGGGAGCAGGGCCTGGGGCAGAGTCAGGGGCGGAGTCTGAGCTCACATCTTCTCCATCCCCTTCTCCCTCCCCGGGCTCTCCTTCCCCCCCACTCATCGTTGTGGTCTGATCTGACCCTGGTATCGGCCGCCTCACACGCTGGGCCCTGTAGAAGCAAGTGGTTAAGGTTAGAAGGCATCCAGGATAAAGGGCTTAGACTTTAAACTTCAGAGAATTAAGAGATAAGAAAAATCCTAATGACGATACCTAATATTTATTAAACACAATGTGCTAAGCACTCAGTATACTAAGTGTTTTGCACCAATCCCCTTACCTAATACAATGAATCCTATGACACAGGTAATTATATTACCTCTATTTTATGGCTGAGGAAACTGAGGCTTAGAGAGGTTAAGTAACTTGTTAGTGATCATAGGCTGTCACCTCTCAAAGTGCGGTAGCAGCATACACATCCCCTGTGAGCTTGTGAAATGCAGACTCTCGGGCCCAACTCTAGACCTACTGAATCACAGTTTGCATCTGAAGATCTACAGGTAATCTGGATACACATGAAAGACTGAGAGATGCTGGCCTAGGAGGTGATTTAACTTCCAGCAGTATGAATCCGGGGCTTATTCTCAAAATCGCTCTACTGTTCTAACTTCTAGAAAGTCATGGGGTAAACTACATTTTTCCTTTTTTTTTTTTTGTGACAGGGCCTTGTTCTGTCGCCCAGCAGGCTGGAGTGCAGTGTGCAGTGGTGTGATCATGGTTCACTGCAACATCCACTTTCTTCCCAGGCTCAAGTGATCCTATTACCTCAGCCTCCCAAGAAGGTAGGACTACAGGCATGTGCCACCATGCCCAGCTAAATGTTTAATTTGTTGTAGAGATGAGATTTCCCTATGTTATTCAAGGTGGTCTCAAACTCCTGGGCTCAAGTGATCCTCCCATCCTCACCTCCCAAAGTGCTGGGATTACAGATGTGAGTCACTGTGCCCAGCCCTATATTTTTCTTAAGAAGAGCAGGGCCAGTTGTTTACTAAGAAACTGCAATTTACACCCATGATTTCCAGCCCTAATGATCAGTCTGTGGTCAGCTCCTAGGATGCTGAGGCTTAGAAGCTAGCAGGCAACAAGGACTGACCCACGGACCCATCCCATCAGTTCTGCTTCTCTCCTGACCCTCACACCTGTGCATGGCCTGCATGCGTAGCCCCTCCTCAATGCTGGAGCTCAATGCCTGCTGGTTGTGCAGGCGGCTCAGGCGGATAAGCACTCGGTCTTGATGGGCCTCGTATTCCTCCCGGCTAGGATAGATCTTAGAGATCAGGGCATCAAAGTTGGGGTCTGGCCGTAGGGATCGCTTGGACACCAGCTTCTTTCGGCAGGTAGGACACTCCTTGTTCCTGGGGTAGGAGAAGGGAAGCCCTGAGTGGTCAGTCAAGGGAACTGAAGCCTAGGCTGAACCAAGACCAGTGAGAGGGCCCTAACTTTGTACCCCTTCATCTCATCTCAAACATGTCTCTCCTATTACCCGCTCCGTAGGGCTGTGACAATGCAGTCAGAGCAGAATCTGTGGAGGCACTCCTTGGTGGTCATCGTATTCTTCAGCATGTCCAGGCAGATAGGGCACATGAGTTCTGAATGCAGTGACCGAGGGGAAACAGCAATCTCTGTGCCATCCATTATGGCTTCCTGAAGGCATCAGTGAGTAGAAAGGTGGTGTGGGTTAGAGGGAAAGGGGTTTTAGAAACAGCAGCCCATAAAATAAGAATTTTGAGAAATACAGTGAGAAGACCCATGTTGGTCTCTATAGGAGACAAGAATTCTGAGAAAGAGAAGGACTGATGACTTGGAGCAAATGGAGAAAAGACAGACTTTAGTGTCCATTAACTAAGAGTAGGAGCTTTGGAATAGGAGGATCTGAGGTGGCTAAGTGGCCTAGGAGTGAAGATGGCACAAATCTGTGGTTGGGAAAAACTATTCAACAAAATTTTTTAAAGTCCTGGTGCTACCTGTATTAGAACCCCATAGGGTGCCTGTTAAAAATTCAGATTCTGAGAACCCAATTCACTACTGAATCAGAATGTTGGGGGGCATGAAGCTCTGCTTTTAATAAACTCCCAAAGTGAGTCTTATGTGCACTGACTTATGACACTGAATGAGGAACAGGGAAGGTAATTTTTGTGTTTGTGATCTTTCAAATGAAGATAATAATACTTGTTCCACCTCTCTGGCAGGGCTGTTTTGAGGATTAAATGAGCTAAATGCGAAAGTGCTTTGGAAAGATTAAGGTGATTCAAAGGTAGGGCCAGGCAAGGCAGAATAGAGCAAATTACGGAAAAGAAGCTGTGTGATGCGGTCTGTGGATATAAGGGTTTGGGGGAGGGGGTAAGCCTGAAAGGGAGAATGCCTGTCACCTGCGGGGTCCGGTGCAGCTCATACAGACTCAGTTCCCACGTTTTGCTGGCATTCTGGGCATTCGCCGGCGTCGTCATGGTGACCGGGCGCAGACCCCCCACCAGGGCTCCACAGCCGAGGAGAAGGCGAAGAAGGCTGGGGGTGGGGGGAAGGGGAGGAGGGCGTCAGGGGGGCCGCCCCTCGCGTAGACCCCGCCCCTCCAGAAGCGCCCCTCTCCGCCCCCGCTCCCGCCCCCGCGCCGGCACTGCCCCTCACCCAGCTCCAGCCGTTCGCGCTCCCGCCGCCGCCGCGCCTCTCCCTAGGCCCGGGCTCCTGGGCCAAGTTCGCTCGGTCCGCAACCGCTGCTCAGACAGCAGCTCCCGCCACCGCCGCCGCCATGGCCCGGGCGCTGGGGCCCTACGTCACTTCCGCCTGCTCCTCCGCTACACCCGCTCCCCCCGCCGGCGGAGACGTCACCCACCATTCGCGGCGCGGGTGGGACGGGACGTGGACGCCGCGGTTCTCCCGCCCACGGGACGGGCTCGTCCCGCGTGAGGATCCTGCGTCCCGGGAGTTCTGCGCCACTTAGGGAACCACGGTCTCCGCCCCCGGCCCAGCACCGTCGCGCGGCCAACAACCTTAGCCTCGGTTCCCTTCCAGAGGCCCCCACGCGGGGCCTCAGCTCCGGGGGGCCGGGGCCTGGAATATCTGGGACCCCAGGAGGGGACAGAGGGCTCGTGAAAAGGGCTACCTCCCCCACTCTGCGTACCCTGGCGACTCTGGGGATCAACCCCCCTCACTTCTCCGTAACCCCCATTCCAGGATCCCGGGGGAAAAGGCTGCAAAAGATCTGCCGCTTTAGCCTTCTAGTCCTGAGAACACACCTAGGTCCCGATGTGCCCGGGATTCCCCTTACCACCCTGGGGACTCCCTCCACCCTCTGCTTTGGCTCTCCCTAGACCCTCCGACCCGCTCTCCCGCTCGAGGTTTGGGGGCGGCGGCTCGGGACGTCCAGACTCAACTCTCGGCCGGAGCCATAGACTCGAGAATTGCGTTTGGACAATCAGGAGCCGCGGCCCGGGGCGGGGAAGGGAGGGAGGCGCACGGGAGGAAAGGGGGAATGGAGACACCACGCGGAAACAGGGACATACACAAGATGGAGCTCCCATTGGGAAGGGGGGGTGCGCGTGTGGGTGGGGTACACAGGGGCAGAATGTCTGGAGTGGGAAGTGGGCAGAAGCCTCTTCGAGGACTCTAGAGTAAACGAAGGGGATGGGGAGGAAAGAGAAGAGGAAGGGGCAGAGCGATCCCCATTGAGTGTAGGGAATGAGAGGGATACAGGGCGAGGGGGTGGGGGGCAGTTAGAGACCCTGATGGGCATCTTGTCCCCGCCCGAGCTGAGGCTCCCGGACTTGGGCTGCGGCTGCCAGGGGGTGGCCTGTCCCTGGGACAAGGCAGCAGTGGGTGCCCTCGCCCCCCACCCCAGTTCCCCCCTACTTCCCTGTCCTCTCCTTCAGTCCGTGGCCAGTCCTTATGTGGGCGCCAGAGTCGATTAGCGCAGACCCCCCTCCCCTTCCTCCTCCTCTTCCCAGCCCCCTCCCTCCTGCTCTCTCCAGCCCCTTTCATCGGCTGGTTCATTCCCCTAATCCTGGCCCCCTCCCCTAATCCCCCCCATCCGACCCCAGGCCGGCTGCAGCTATTGTAAGGTGGAGAGAAAGGGGAGGGGGGGACTCAGAGAAAGGAGAGGGGTGGGGGAGGGCCACCTGTTCCAAGACCCCCTTTCAAGGCCAGACTGGACACCAAGATGGGGCCATGAACAAATCACCCTTGGGGACCATAAGAACCCAGGGAGTTGGGGGGAGGGGACTGGTGCTGCAGAACCAGTGGAAAGGGGTGACGCACGAACCCCTCCCTTCAAAAAGACCCGGAGTGTCACGCATACACAGTGACACATACTCTTTCCTCTCACACCCGGCGGCGGGGGTTGCCCTGGGAGACCAGGCAGAGAAAGGGAACAATCCTTCGGGAAAGGGAAAGGAGGGGGAGGTGGGGAAGGGTCTGAGGGCTTGGACACAAGAAGAGCCGGAGGTGGCAGGGAAGAGGACTTGGAATTTATTAGGGTCACAAGCACCCCTGCTTCCCATATTCAGCATTCCTGAACCATACACTGCCACCCCTTTTGTATCCTGGGAACTTAGAGTCCTCATCAGCAGGAGGCCAGGCAGAGTGGTGGGGGGGTGAGCAGAGTCCAGGGTCCTTGAGGCAGTTACATGAAAAGACCTCCTGGGAGGGGCAGAAACATTTGGACAGATGCATGGGTGGAGACACAAATGGGCTAGGGGGTACCCACTTCTGTCCCTGGCCTTGGGAACCTCTGCCCTTCCCAGTGGCTCCAGACTCCCCTTACTTGCTTTCTCATATAGTCTGGGTTCTACTTCTCTGCCCTCTCCCTCCCCATGCTGGCCTCATACCAGTGACTTCCACTGAGGTCCCTGTGATGTATCCACTATCTTCAGATGCCAAGAATGCGACCACATCTGCCACATCTATGAGAATGGTGGGGAGAGGGCAGAATTCTGCTCACTCCCATAGACCCAAAACAGCCATAATCTCCCACCAAAGACATCCCTCCCCACAAACCTCTCCACAGACACCAACCACCAGTCCCCTAGAAAATCCCCAAACTTTGGGGATCTCTTCATTCAGGCCCCCTTCCCAGGGACCCCACTACATTCAGTGCTCACCCTCAGGGTCCCCCAAGTGTCCCATCGGGATCATTTCAGTAATCTGTAAGGAAATACTCATGTGGGTGAAAGCTTCTTTTATGGATTTTTTTGAAGACTGAGTCTGTGACCCTTTTTTGTCTTCATTTCTCATACATTCATTGAATATTTAATGTTTGCCAGGAACTGTGCCCAGTATTCTCTCTCTCTCTCTCTCTCTCTCTCTCTCTGTGAAGCCCAGAGAGATTGAGTCTCTGAATGATTCTGCCCTCCACCCACAGCCTCCTACCTTGTCCACCACTTTCTGTGGCACTTTCTGTGTCATGGGTGTTGCAATGAACCCTGGGAGGACAGAGTTACAGCGGATCCCATGTCTGTGGGAAGGAGAGTGGCTGCCGATTCTGGAGAGGGCTGAATGCTGGTACCTCCCTCAGACCCCCCAGGTGCTCCCCAGCACCCTCAAGCATCTGACCAACCGTCCAAGCTCCCGGGCTGCGGTCTGGGTCAGCCCAATCACTCCAGCCTTGGATGCTGCATAGTTTGTCTGCCCCACGTTCCCCACCTATAGGTGAGTCAGAGATGTGGAATGAGTCAGGAGTCTCAAGGAGGGGTTCTCCTCTCTATACCACTTGGCTGGCTGACCTCGTCCAACTCAACCTGACCTTTCCTACGATGCTACTGATGTTGATGATGGAACCACGACAACCATTGGACACCAGGGCTTGTGCTGCAGCCTGAGTGACTAGGAAGGTGCCCTGGCGGGAAAGGGTAACAAGGGAGAAAAGATCAGCTGGGGTGACAGCCCTCCTCCAACTCCCTCCCCAGGCTAAGGGGGCCAAACGTCGCAGGTTCAGAGATCGCCACCTTGAGGTTGACAGCTATGACTTTGTCCCAGTCATCCTCAGACATGTGCAGCAGAAACTCATCCTGGGTGATGCCCGCACAGGACACAACGACAGATGGTGGGCGAGAAAAGCAGGCCTATGGGAGGGGGAGGTTACGCATCAAAAACCCCCCACAAAAAGCCGGGGCAGTGGAGGCAATATTAGAGCTTTAGAGGGGGAAAGTGGCCTGGCGTTCACCTGCACTTGTTCCAGCAGGCACCTGGCGGCCCTGGCCTCAGACACGTCAGCCTGGAAGGCAGCATGGTTCCCTCGGGGCGGCCCCTCCTTGCTCCCTGGCCCGCCCAGCAGCCGCACCGTCTCCTGTGCCGCTGCCCGGTCCAGGTCGCAGGCAGCTACGGTGGCCCCCTCTCCGGCCAGGCGTACACTGACCGCTCGGCCGATGCCGCTCCCCGCACCTGAGGTAGGACAGAACACGCCGGACCGGGCACGGGGAGGAGAGGGCAGGGATCAGAGGTCACAGGGCAGAAAGTAAAATGTGGGTAAGGGGCCAGAGGTCACAGCGGCCGCGCACTCCAAGGGCACGCCCCTGACCTCACTCCAATACCCCAAACCGCCCGGGGAAAGAACCCCCTCAACCTGTGACCAAGGCCAGTGCGGAGCGGAGTCGGTTCTGGAGCTGAGACGCCATGGCGGGCTGTGGGTGGGTGGGAATCCCAGCACTAAGCCAATCCCAGCGCAGAGGGGCGTGGCAAGGGCAAAGCCGGGGCCAATCAAAGGCCCGCCAGCCTTAGGCCATCTGCGGCCACCAGCGCAGGCCGACCTCCCACCGAGGGGGCGTGGCCCGACACTGCTGCTTAGGGGCCCCGGGTGTGGAGAAGACAAGGGGCCCCATTCCCCCCAAAAAGACAAAGACTGCATGTGGGGCGGAAGATCGGAGGTCTTTATTTCCGGTTACCACCCCTCCCCCTCGATTCAAACACAGTGATATAAAAGGAATAGAAACAAAAAAAATCAGGCCATGAGAATACCAACTAACCCTCTCCCACCCCATCCCCCCAATCACTCCCAAATCAGGACACACGATTGATGTTTGATGTTTATCCCCGACTCCTCCTGTTACCCTCTCTGTCCAGGACTCTGGTCTTCCCTGAAGCCTCCACCAACTGGTGGGAGAAAGGAAACTGGACCTTGGAGAACTTCCTGTGTAGCAACTTGGTTCTCCGAGAACAGGTGGGGTAGGGGACACCAGGTAGGCTGCCATCACCCCCTGTCCCTTCCAGCCTTCTTCATGGCCCCATTTAGCCTTCCAAATGCAACATGGTCAGACAGTGCCCAACACTATGGTCCCTCTGGCCTCTCATTCTCACCGCTCCAGCCTCTGTAAGACTGCCAGCCCTTGAAGGCCCTAATGCCAAAGTAACCATTCTCCCAGGCTACAGTTCCTTCCTTTGGCAGATGTCCCTGGCCAGGGCCCCCAACCTCTACGCACCCCTGACCTGGAGTTAGGGGTAGAGGTTTGGGGCAGGGGTAGTTTATCCACCCCTCACTCAAGGTGGGCAATCAGCACCATCATGATAACTCCCCCCAGCAGCCCCAGCACCTCCAGAAGTGATTGCAATGGTGATGCCTCCCTCAGCAGCTCGGGCAACACAGACACTGTTGCTACGTAGATAAAGCCACCTGCAGTAAATGGCAGGACCCAGCCAGGACCTGCACCACCTGCAATTTCACTGCCCACTGCTCCTCCTTCAGTGAGAAGGGCACAGGCTGTGCCTGCCAGTGCCCCTACTGCTGTCAGTAGTTGCAGACGCATCGCCTGATGGGCAGAAAAGAGAAAAAGGCACTCACCAATAGCTAAAGATTATCAGTGGTTTAGAAGTGGCTGGTGGGGTATAGGTATAGGGGACATGGATTTGGAAACTAAACATCAAAATAAAAAGAGAAGAGGGAGCAGTCTAGAATAGACAATTTCTGAAAAATCTTAAGAGATCAGAGGTCCTTTCCACAGACTTTCTGATTGAGTAGGCGTGTGTGTGTAAGACTCCACTAAACCATTCAGATGGTTTATAGACCAGTTTAAGAAATACTGAGCTAAAGGACAAAGTAACCAGAACTTCTTCCCCCTCATTTCTAGAGGACTTGTCAATGACAGTATGAATTGTTTGGAACTAATAAGAGGCTGTTTGGGTTTAGGGTGAGTGAGGAGAGATAAAGGGTTTGAGGCAGCTGTGTTTGGCAGACATCACCAACCTGCTTTTTGCTGCAGCCAGACTGGACCAAGATGGCAAAGTCTCCGACCTCGTGGGGCACTTCATGTAGCAGGACAGTCATTGTGGTCAGGATCCCTAGTCCCCGGCCCCCTCGAAAGGAAGCCCCAATGGCCAGACCATCAGTGAAGTTGTGTGCCAAGTCAGCAGCCAGATTCAGGTACCCCGACACACGCAGGTCTTGTACAGGACAAGAAGAGAAAATGATCAGAGGCTTCCATCACCACTTGTTCCAGTCTTGGTCAGCTATTCTCACACCTCCCCTCAGAGACCACTTTACACCCAGTCCTTTAGTGTTTCTCAGATACCTGCCATTACCCACAGCACATATTCCATGTGATTTGTGATGATGTCCCTTGCCCAAATTTATCACCAACTCTGGCCCTTACCTAAGCCTCTTTTTTCTTCTTCAGCGTTCTGAGGTCTCACTGGCCCATCTTTGGGTACTGTGCTCCCTCCTCGCCTCTTCTGAACCCCTCTTGTTTCCTTTTCTTCTTCCTCTGAGCTCTGCTTCTCCTTGGTAGAACGCTCTGAGGGAAGAAAAGAGTTGGTCAGAGTGGAGAACAGATCTTCCAACATGTCCTCTCCCTCCTGAGGGCCATAAGATGAGGAGATTCTGAGGCAGGCAAGTCAGCTTTCAGGAAAGTTGTTCCTGGGCTCACCTTGTCTTCCATGTCCATGACTTCCACGTGTATGACTGTGAGCGTGTCCATGTCCATGACTGTGACCATGTCCTCCTTTCACATGTCTCACAAATTTCTCCACGACAAGAAAGGCAACAATTCCACTGAGAACCCACAGTCCCACAGACAGAATGGGGCCCTGGCCTGGGAATGGAGGCATTGAGACATTAAGGGAGATGTGCATTCCAGACTCCTCCTCCTCAAGTGCGGGAGGTGAGGAATAGGGAGAGACGGACCTTCCCCAGCACCCCAACTCCCATCCCCATCTGTCTCTTCCTCACCACTGTGGGAGTGTCCATGTCCGGGTTGCTCCAGAGTGTGGTGAGAATGAGGTTCTGGAAGAAGGGGGGAAAACCAGATGAGGGAATATCTGACACAATGAGTGTGTATTTGGGGGAATATCGAAAGGTCAGGGATCATAAAGGAGAAAGAACCCTTTTCCTCCAAAGAACGAAATAGGTTAGATTTGAGGTAGAAGTCAGAGGTTACTTACCAAGAGCATGAGGAATGAGGTGCAGGAAAGCATCTCCCAGGAGCCCACCGGAAGCAAAACTGAGCAAGATCTGAAGTAGAGAGCGATGCCGGGGAGAGTTCGACTCCACGGGGATAAGGAAGAGGACAAAAAATGGAGCTGCTGAGATCAGCACTGTGGCCCCCAGTGCCTGGTGAGGGAGAGTCAAGGTCAAGTACTGTGGAGTTTCCCAACAATCCAGAACCAGCCCTTCTCTCTCCCATCCCCTGGAGACTCACATAAGCCCAGAGAGTGACAGCATCCAGGTCCTGCTTGATGCCTGGAGCCCCAGACTCCCCATAGCCTCCATGGCTATGCTCATGGTCATGTCCATGTCCTCTGTGGTAGAGGCTCTCATGGGAGTAGCCATGGCTATGGCCATGGTGTAAATCCTCATGTGAATGTCCATGGTCGTGATCGTGGGTATGTCCATGCCAGATGCTCTCGTGAGTGTGGCCATGGCCATGGGCATGGCTGTGGCCATGGTGGAAATCTTCATGTGAGTGCCTGTGGCTGTGGCCATGGAAGTCCTCTTGCAGATCGTCGTGCAGGTCGTCATGACCCCCGAGTCCAGCCACCAGAAGCCCCAAGGTCGCCCAGGTCAGCAGTCCCACGGCCACCCAGTGGGGGGCCCCCAGGCCTCTGGCCATCACGCTGACCAGAGGGACAGAGGCAGTGACTCCACTTGACTCAACTCTATACCTACACAGGGTCCGCTTTACTCCAATCGCGCCCTCCGTCCACCTCTATGGGCCGCTCTCCCATTCCCTTAAGTTCCCACCTACATTGTTCCCAAGACTAGTTCTCTTTATCCCGAACCACCTCCCGGATGTAGGGCCCTGGGACACTAATCTTTCACCAGCCACTTTACAGACTCTCTGGGCCCTCGTCTCTACGACTCATTAGGTGAGGAAAAGGCCTGGAAAGGATGGTAGAGAAAAAACAGAGAATTCTCACCGGCTCCGGGATCCTCTCCTTTCCCGGTTTGCTTGGACGTGGCAGTCCCGCCTTTAGATCCCGCGAGAACAGGAAGTTCCGTTCCACCTTCGCCCTAATGCCTTTACCAATATGGCGGCACTCCGGTAGCGACGAATCCATCCTGCACTGACACGCATGCGCGAGTGTGGAGGTGATTTGAGGGGAGGGTGGGCGAGGCGGGCTAACAGGCCGGAGGAGACCGCCTCCTCGGTTTCCAACTAGACGAGGGGGCGGGAACTCGCGCCGAGACTTCCCGTCTGTACAAAGATGGCTGCCACATTGGCGCTGTCATTTTGGTACTGAGCAGAGCGACGGGCTTAATTCGACCCAATCCAGGCCAGAGTCTTTCTCTCAGGGGCTTCCTCGTGCTCAGCTAATCCTCCGATCAATCCTTGGGAATCCCTGGGACCTCTTCGGTATCCCTACTCTCAGCCAGGGATCATGTCTTGGGCCGCTCGCCCGCCCTTCCTCCCTCAGCGGCATGCCGCAGGGCAGTGTGGGCCGGTGGGGGTGCGAAAAGAAATGCATTGTGGGGTCGCGTCCCGGTGGCGGCGGCGACGGCCCTGGCTGGATCCCGCAGCGGCGGCGGCGGCGGCGGTGGCAGGCGGAGAACAACAAACCCCGGAGCCGGAGCCAGGGGAGGCTGGACGGGACGGGATGGGCGACAGCGGGCGGGGTGAGTGCCCCAGCAGAAGGGCAGGCGAGCCAGTGACCGCTTTATCTGCGACCCCTCCCCCACACCCTCCCCCGGTGCTCTTTTCCTTGCGCTCCCGCCCCCTTGTTTGTAAACACGCGTCCCCTCCCTCCCGAGGGCCTTAGCACCCTCCCCCCCGGGGCGGGGCGGGGAAGGGGAGCTTCCGCCCTCCTAGCTGTGACCGCTTGAGGCCTTGGGCACCGGAGGTCGCGGGCCTGGGAAGGGCACGATTCCTCTTAAACCTCAGGACTTTGGGCGTTTACAGGCAGATCCTGCGTCTTAGGAGGGGTCTCTCCTGCCTGTCTCTTTCCCTTGCACGCTCTGGCTACCTGGCTTTACGCTGGGAATAGAGGGGCTCGATGGTCTACCCCACGTGCTGCCCCACCCACGAGACAGGTGTGGCTTTGGGATGACCTGGTATTCATTCAAATGGATTGGTTGGAAAATTTTCCTCACCTGAACTATCCTCCTCTCCTTGTCAACTCCCTCCTCTCACCACAATGAGGAGTTACGCTGTTTTTGGGTTTTTTTAGCCAGTCAAATATAGCAGTGGGAGGTTGTATACCAATTTTAGTGACACAAATGTTAATAAGTTCTGATAACCCACTACCATCGGACCAGCCGGAGTTACACTGTTGTTTGACAGCAGGGTGTCTCTGAACTTGGGGATGGGTGGAGTGGGCTGGGTCCGGCACGGTGGGGTATTAGAGAATTAAAGTCTCTAGTTGGATGTTTGAAGACTCATTTTCTTTTTTTGTCTCTTCTGTCTCTTGTGTGTCTGTGTGCCTGTACATACCCCTCCCTCAGACTCCCGAAGCCCAGACAGCTCCTCCCCAAATCCCCTTCCCCAGGGAGTCCCTCCCCCTTCTCCTCCTGGGCCACCCCTACCCCCTTCAACAGCTCCATCCCTTGGAGGCTCTGGGGCCCCACCCCCACCCCCGATGCCACCACCCCCACTGGGCTCTCCCTTTCCAGTCATCAGTTCTTCCATGGGGTCCCCTGGTCTGCCCCCTCCAGCTCCCCCAGGATTCTCCGGGCCTGTCAGCAGCCCCCAGGTGAGAGGTTGTGACCAACTTACTGCCTGGCCACTTTCATTTTCTTGTTTTCCTTGTAACCCCAGATCCTTGTGTGAACTTCCCCATGGCCCATTGACCTTCCAATCCTCTAACCTTGTCAGGCCTGTGGTCTTTATGAGACCCCTTGCCTTTCCTGAGGTGACTGATCTTTCAGTGCATGCTTCCTCCCCTAAAAGAACTCTAATATTCTTTGTTTTTGTGTGTGTGTGTGTGTTTTTTTTTTTTTTTTTTTTTGAGATGGAGTCTTGCTCTGTTGCCCAGGCTGGAGTGCAGTGGCACAATCTCAGCTCACTGCAACCTCTGCCTCCTGGGTTCAAGCAATTCTCCTGCCTCAGCCTCCTGAGTAGCTGGGATTACAGGTGCCTACCACCACGCCCGGCTAATTCTGATATTCTTGATGTCCTTTTCATCTATCTGATTTTCTGCCCTTTTGATCCCATCTGCTTTCCCAAGACACCTGCCCTTCAGGGTCACTGTGTTGCACAATTTCAGGGGGGGCCTGTTTATTCACTTTGGGGTTGTGCTCCAGGGATGGCCTTTCACATAGACTGCAGTGTAAATGACAGCCTCTGGAATGTGCATTGCAGGGCCTTGCTTAGTGGTAGGGAATGATTTCCATCACTTCTGTGACATTCTGCTTCCCAATAAGTCTTCCTGTGACTTCCCTATTTCCCCCATCCCAGATTAACTCAACAGTGTCACTCCCTGGGGGTGGGTCTGGCCCCCCTGAAGATGTGAAGCCACCAGTCTTAGGGGTCCGGGGCCTGCACTGTCCACCCCCTCCAGGTGGCCCTGGGGCTGGCAAACGGCTATGTGCAATCTGCGGGGACAGAAGCTCAGGTATGTGGCTCAGAGGATGAACAGAGAGGGAGAGTCTGGGCCATGTATCATCACCTGTGGGATTCCCAGGGCTTATGGAGTTTGGTCAGAGCAAGTGACCTGGGGGAGGCCTGATGGGAGTAAAGAAGCTGAAGCTGAGATGTAGGACGCGATTGGGGGGAAGGTCAGAGGGAAAAGGAAGCAGCGTGTAGGGTTTCTGAACAGTGAGGAGACTGGGACTGGATCATCACTCAGCTCCTGGTTCCCTATCTCTGTATTTGGCAAACAGGGAGGACTTTAAGTTTTGCTAGGGGGAGATTGGAAACAGACTAAATGGTGAAGGTGTCTCCATGCAACCTTCTTATTGCTCCTCCCCTTTCCCTGTAGGCAAACACTACGGGGTTTACAGCTGTGAGGGTTGCAAGGGCTTCTTCAAACGCACCATCCGCAAAGACCTTACATACTCTTGCCGGGACAACAAAGACTGCACAGTGGACAAGCGCCAGCGGAACCGCTGTCAGTACTGCCGCTATCAGAAGTGCCTGGCCACTGGCATGAAGAGGGAGGGTAAGGACCCGCCCTGCCCAGGCGTCTTAGACCACATGCCCTTCTCCCTTATCCCACTCAGACTGTGTACCTCTCTGGAAGGGTGGACTGCTCTCTCTCCTCTAGAGGGCGATATTTGATTTCTCTCTCCCTTCGCAGCTCTCCTCCCTGTTACCCTGTTCTGGCCCTTGAGTTTCCTTCTTAATGGTTAGGCCTCTGTGGCCTGCACATATGACCCCTCCCTAGACTGATCCTAGGATAGGATAACTTTTCCTTAGCCATGATGGGCTGTCTCCCCATTTCTAACCTGAGTGGTTCCTCCTCTGATTCCATGGACCTTCTCTGGTCTCTGTCTCCTGTTATCTGTGATCTTTCCTCTAACTCCTGGGACTGGGCACTCTTAAGCTTACAGACTTTACTGAAGACCTCAGGGCTTCCCTTCCTTCTTCTGTGTCTCCATCTTATCTTCTTAAGTCAGATTCCTAGGATTCTGAGAGACACTTTAGAGCATATCTTGGTCAAAACACCCACTTTAGAGAAGATGAGCCTGAGGCTTGGCTTTCCCAAGGTCATGCAACAAAGGAGTGGCAGGCAGGTTTGGGATCAGAACCCACATCTTCAAAGACCTAGGCCAGTGCTCCTTTCACTGCCTATTTGTTGAGTCAGAAGAGCACAAGATTTGCACTCAGACACACTTAGAGTCAGTTGTATGACCTGCCATGTATTATATGAATTTAAGCAAACTAATCTCTTTGAACCCCGAGTTCTTCATCTTAAAAATGAGAATAAATGCTTCCAGCATCATTATGATAATTGAGTGAATGTTAAAATGTGCTTAGCATGTTTCTTGGCATATTTTATTTAAAAAAATTTTTTTTTTCAATCAGCTTTCTCAGGTTGAATCTTGGCATGTTTTTTTTAACCATGTAGTAGGCTCTCCATTTAAATTCCTCCCTAATTCTTTTACCTACCTCACCCTTCCCGACTGACTTACCTGCCCTTTTATAACCCTTCCTTCAGGGCTGCCCCCAGTCCACCCTTTCTAGTGACTTCCCCAATTCCTATAAATATCTCCCAAGGGCCATGAGATCCTGATGAGGCCGTAAGGATATTTGTGGAACCCCTTCATGGCTGGCTGCTGACTTTCCATTTTTTCTCTCCCCCTTCCCCCTGCAGCGGTACAGGAGGAGCGTCAGCGGGGAAAGGACAAGGATGGGGATGGGGAGGGGGCTGGGGGAGCCCCCGAGGAGATGCCTGTGGACAGGATCCTGGAGGCAGAGCTTGCTGTGGAACAGAAGAGTGACCAGGGCGTTGAGGGTCCTGGGGGAACCGGGGGTAGCGGCAGCAGCGTGAGTGTTGGGGTCAATCCACTCTCCTTCGTGATGGGGGTTGGGGGAGGCAGTCTAGGTCTGTTCTACATCCCCTCCCCCTCCTTTCCCCTCATAACCTTCCTAACACTACTTGGGACTGGAGGTGCTGCCAAACAAGGTCTTTCAAACATCTGAGGTGGATGTGATAGCTCCTTCTGTCTCCACTCCCCAAACAACCCACTGGCAGAACCATAGGCATGTCCCAAATAAATAATTGTTTGCACTAATGCCAGAAGAGAAGACTCACTTACAGGGATTGGTTTGGATGGGGCTCACAGGAAGACTATATGTAAGGAGGGGGTGTCAAAAGCCTCTTACAAGGGGGCTCCCAGCATATCTCAAAATCTTCCATAACTCTTACCCCCGTCCCCTGCAGCCAAATGACCCTGTGACTAACATCTGTCAGGCAGCTGACAAACAGCTATTCACGCTTGTTGAGTGGGCGAAGAGGATCCCACACTTTTCCTCCTTGCCTCTGGATGATCAGGTCATATTGCTGCGGGCAGGTCAGTGACCTTGGATCCCTTTGACTTCTTGACATTTGACCCCTCTTTGACTTCCCGATCTTTAGTGACCCCAGTGGCCTTACCTTGCGTACCCAGGGAGCCAAACTTGCTGACCTCGCCACCTCTTTTCTCCTTCTCTTCCACTGATGTGCTTTGAATCCCTTGGCCTGATTTCTGGCTCCTGACCCTTGCTGCCCCACCCAGGCTGGAATGAACTCCTCATTGCCTCCTTTTCACACCGATCCATTGATGTTCGAGATGGCATCCTCCTTGCCACAGGTCTTCACGTGCACCGCAACTCAGCCCATTCAGCAGGAGTAGGAGCCATCTTTGATCGGTCAGTGGCCCTCGGCTAGGCTGGCATGTAGATAGAGGGGGTGGGGCTATAGGCTGGTCCGTGTCCAAGGCTGGCTGAGCTGTGACCTTTGAGTGACCTGCAGGTCCCTCTCCAGGGTGCTGACAGAGCTAGTGTCCAAAATGCGTGACATGAGGATGGACAAGACAGAGCTTGGCTGCCTGAGGGCAATCATTCTGTTTAATCCAGGTAAGAGGAGGATTACCTTTGTCTCTCAAGGCCAAGGCAACCTTGGAGCCTCCTCTTCTCCGAGACTCCTAAGTTACCCAGCTATCCCCCTCAGTAAGACCCTCAACCTGGAAATCTCCCAACTGGCCGAGGAAAAACCCACATCCACGGATCCATCCCACAAACCCAGTGGGCCCTGCTTCCCTTGCCAGGCCTCTGGTAAAGGGCAAGCAAGTGCAGCCCAAAAGGGGCATCCTGTGGCTCACATCTGCATGGCCATCCTGATTTGGTTTGTCTTCATTTCTCTTCCTCCTCTCTTCCCTGCCATCCCAGATGCCAAGGGCCTCTCCAACCCTAGTGAGGTGGAGGTCCTGCGGGAGAAAGTGTATGCATCACTGGAGACCTACTGCAAACAGAAGTACCCTGAGCAGCAGGGACGGTGAGATGGGGCTGGGGGGCACTGAGGCTCCCTTGGGGGTGGGGAGTGCTATGAGGATGTGTTCAGGGCCCGTGTGCTTCCAGCTCTCAATCCCCTTCTCCCACCTCCACCCCAGGTTTGCCAAGCTGCTGCTACGTCTTCCTGCCCTCCGGTCCATTGGCCTTAAGTGTCTAGAGCATCTGTTTTTCTTCAAGCTCATTGGTGACACCCCCATCGACACCTTCCTCATGGAGATGCTTGAGGCTCCCCATCAACTGGCCTGAGCTCAGACCCAGACGTGGTGCTTCTCACACTGGAGGAGCACACATCCAAGAGGGACTCCAAGCCCTGGGGCAGGGTGGGGGGCCATGTTCCCAGAACCTTGATGGGGTGAGAAGTACAGGGCAGAACCAAGAACATAAACCCTCCAAGGGATCTGCTTGATATCCCAAGTTGGAAGGGACCCCAGATACCTGTGAGGACTGGTTGTCTCTCTTCGGTGGCCTTGAGTCTCTGAATTTGTCGGGGTCTCCCATGATTTGGGGTGATTTCTCACCCTCTGTCCTTCCCCCAGCACAAAGCACTGGCCTTGCCTCCAGGACCTTGCTTCCTTCTCATCTTGCCTCATTTTGCTTCCCATCTGAAGAGTGGAAATGGGGATCTCCCCCAGAGGTGGATACTGGGGGGCAGGCCTCCCAAGCTGATGGACATGAGAGTAGGGCCCTGACAGGCCTTCCTCCTCTCAAACCTGGCAGATGGGGGCCTCTCTGGAAGAGGGAGGGGCCCTGTCACTGTCCAGAGTCTCTTTTTACACTTCACCTCCTTCTGCAGTCAGACTGAAATATAAAAAAGGTGGTGGTGGTGGTGAAGGGGCTGGTGGAGATGTAGGAACCGATCTGCTATTTTTAATTTCCTGTGAGGATAGAGACTTGCAGTTAGACTCAAAGAAGTACTGTACTTTCCCAGGTTGACTAAGAAATGCCAGTGGTGGAGGTGGGTGTTTGGGAAAGGCAGGGCCCTGAAATGGCCTGTCCCTAGGGCTCTCCAAGCACTAGCCTTCCCAGCTTCCCGCCGCCCCCCCCCATCTCTTCCTGTCTAACTTGGGGAAGGGGCCTGGGCTGTGAGGACAGGGCCCCCACAGGGGATGGTTTCACGAGTGTAGTCCCGGAGGCCTTCCCTTTACAGCTCTCCTCCAGCCCTGGGCACATAGCATAGGCTGGGGACACAGGATCCTGGCCTGAGAATTGAGGGGAGGTGGCCAGCCCGCAGAGGTGGGGTGCTGGGGCTGCATGATTTTTGCCCTGCGTCCCTTCTCTTTGGGGCTCCTTTCCCCTCTCATACATAAAATCGCTTTCAAATTAAAATCGCTGTTTTCTGGACTGAGGTGACTGTATGAGGATGGGCAGCGCCGTTTCGGGCTTGGGGGGGGTATCCGGTTGGGAGCTCCGGACGCGATCCCTGGACGCCGCCGCCGAGGTTCCATGGGGCCCAAGAGGTGCACGCAGGGTGGGGGACACAAGGCAAGCTTTGTCGGGGAGGGGGGGAGAGGGTGTGCCAGGCTGGGGGCGGGGCCGGCCGGAGGAGGAAGGGGGGGCGGTGGATTCTCAAAGGCGCCTTGTTCGCTCGTGCCCTCTCCGCGCCAGCGGGCGGCGGCGCCTCGGCTCGCTGCGGCCTTCCCTCCGGGCGCGCTGCGGGCTCCGGGCAGACCCGGCGCCGTGCCCGCTCGTGGGGGCGCACTGGGCGCCGAGCGCTGCGTGCTTCTCAGGCGTTGCCCGCCCGGAGGCGGCCCACGTCCCCGAGTGACCCCATTTCCCTGGACCCTTCCAACCAGAGTCGACTGCTCGCTCATCTTACCACTGCTCCCCCTCTACCTCGGCTCTGGGACTCCCTAACCGCGTCCCCCATTTGCATCTCCTTGGACCTGACTATCCTGTGTTTGTCGGTGGGTCCCAGTCTCTGGCCTCTTGCTCTCCGTAGAACACCTTCCCCCACATCCCCCGCCCCAGTTCGTCGCTATCTATAGCCTTGTCTATAAATACCCCCGCCCCGGCCCGGCTCTGTAATTACACGGGGCGGGGTGAGGGAAGTAATTATGGAGACCTGATTATGGGTGGGGTGGGGACTGCGACCCCCAGGCCCGCCTCTCCCCCTCCCACTGTGCCCTAAATCCCGCCCAGGCCTCTGCTGAAAGGGGGCTCTGGGCCCCCAAGAGGGAGGGAATGGGAGGGAGTGTGTGTGACTGGACGTTTGGGTCCTAGAAAAGGAAGGGGCTAGGGAAGATATTGGGGTTCCCGAAAAGAGAATCTTAGGGTACAGGCCGTTGAGACCTACAAGGGGCAGGAGAGAGCGAGCGATAGAGGGAGGGTTCCCGCCTCCCTCCCCAGGTGGAGACTGAGGGTGGGGTTTCCCTTCGGTGGCTGTGGGCGGGCGGCTGGAGGCGGGGGCCGGGCCGGGGGCGGGGGCGAGGTGGGGGCTCTGGGCGCCAGGGTGGCCGGGGACACACAGAAGCGGCAGCCACCGAGGAGGGAGCAGTGCCGGGAGCCCCGACGGCGCCTTGCTGCATGGAGCTGGGCCGCTGACAGCTGTCGCTGCCCGCAGCCTCTGACCTCCCTGGGACCCCGGCGTCTGAGGCTCATAGTCTGCTCCCTGTCTTCTGTCAGCCTCAGGGCATCCAGCGTCTCAGGCCGACCTGGGTCCCTGGGACCCGGCGTTTCGGCTTCTCAGCCATGGAGCGGTGCAGCCGCTGCCATCGCCTCCTCCTCCTCCTACCTCTGGTGCTGGGGCTGAGCGCGGCCCCAGGCTGGGCAGGTAAGAGGAGTCCTGATGCCTGGGTCCTCGGAGTCAGGCTGGAGCTCTGAGTGTCTCTGGGAAGGGGCCAGCTGATGCCTGGGGCAGCAGCTTCTGAGTCTAACAAGGAGATTTGGGGCTTCAAGGCTACAGGCTGGAGGGCAGGACACCTGTGTTCCTTGGCATCAGGGTAGGAATCTCTTTGTCCTTGAAGTGACTGGGGGAGGGCAGATAGGGCTGAAAGGTGGAGGACCACTTTAGAGACCCTGAATGGGGATGGATGCTTGTCTTGAGTCCTTGGGAAGAGCTGAAGATGGCCAGGGCCAGCCCGGTCCAGTCATTGCTGGTGTGGGGATGGTAGACGCCAATGTTGATGGGTGAGGCGTGTGTGTCTTATGGCCTTTCTGTCGATATCTCTGGGATAAGGGGTGAGCACCTGTGATTCAGAGCAGAGCCCAGTAAGCCCAGAAAGAAAGGAAGCCTTGACTACCTGTCTCATTGGCCTCCTGGACAGGGTCCCCCTCCCCCTCCCTGTGCCCTCGATGCTGCCACGCAGCTGGCTCTGGGGAGCACTGGGGCTGGCTGCCAACAGGACGGCCCTCCGGACAGGCCAGGATCAGGTGTCTGAGGCCAGAGCCAACTCTTTGCATTCCTGCCTAGCCCCTCCTCCCTCTGGCCAGCCAGGCTCCCCTGGGACCCTGGTGCCCACAACCCTGATCTTTTCCTTCTTTTTCCCAGGACCCAGAATTCCTGGCTTCTAGGAAAGGGGATTTGATGTCAAGGAGGGGGCTGTGAGCACCAGGTCCTCAGCAGGCTGGAAAAAGCCCATTTCTGGAGACACTGAGGGCTGATTTATATTTAACTTGACTATTCAATTCTTCTCTGCTTTAGAGAGAAAATGGTCAGAATGGCAGCACAAAAGATTTAGATTAGATTACAGAAGGAAGAACTTCCAAGATGTGAGGACAGTGAAGCCCAGGGCCAGGAAATTGAGGCGTATGGTGCCTGTAGACTCTAGGAGTCTTTCTTAGGGGGAAGAGGGATCCTCTGGCATGGAGGCAGGGGGATGGCTAAGATGACTGTTTCTTATTTCAGGGGCTGAGTGGGTAGAGATGGGACTTTAGGGAAATGAGTTACTGTAGAATTCCTAAGGTTAGAGAATAAGGCATTTGGGGGGCCAGAGGTAGAGTGGTGGAGGGTAATGGGGCTACCAGTGGAGAGCCTGTGGGGCAGATGAGGCTGGATACAGGGGGGCAAGTATGTGGCCTGGTGTGGGAAGATGGTGGGCGGACCTGTGGGTAGGTTGTCCATATGATCGAATTGTACTCCCTTGGGATTTGGTGGAGGGTGGGGACCTCCGAGGTCTCCTTGGCCTGGGGTCTCTGTGAGTCTCTGTGTCTCTGTCTCACTCACCCTTCGTCTCTCAAAGCGGCCCTTGTGTGTTGGTGTTTGCGGAGCTGCCACACGCGCAGGGGCCAGGCTTAGGTGGGGGTTGGGGGGGAAGGCCGTGGTTTCCCGGCTCCTGGACTCAAAGGGCCTTTTCTCTGCCTGCCCGCCCCACCTCACCCACCCCACCCAGCTCCACTCTCCTGATTGCTCTGGCCTCTGCCCTGCCCCACACTTCTATGAAAGTTTTGCTGGAACTCTCTTTGGGATTTTTCCAATCTGGAGCTGATGGTGTGAAGAGTATGTGTATAGGGGAGCAAGTGAGGGCAAGGTGATCTTTTGTTTTCCAGGGAGTTTGAGCCCTAGGAAGCTGAGTTCTAGGTAGACAGGGCTGGTGGGCTGGATCTTGAATCTTTGGGTCCCAGGTGGTGGGGTTGGTGGGGGTGGTGAGACAGGATTGAGGTTCCAGGTGTGGGGAGCTTGCCTGGGTTCTGGGCAAGCACTCTGATGGGATCCACAGATGTGTGGCTCAGGGCCCTGGACCTGTTCCGGATCCTCGTGGCAGCTTCAGCCCCTGCCCCCCATTCCTCCACCCCTCCCCAACTCATCTCCTAAACCAGGAGGCACAGACTCCTGGGAGAGCTTTCTTGTATCTTTTTCCTCAGCATGCTCAGGGTTGTTCCCACCCCATCCCCCAAACCTGGGATCTGTAGCTGCTTGAAGCCCCTCTCATAGAGCTGCTTCTCTGATCTCTTCCTCGTGGCCCCCCTGCACCTCCTGTGTCCAGGATGATCGATTGCCCAGATGTTGTTTGTGCTGGAGACGGGACAGATGCCAGAGACCCAGAGAGTGAGAGATATGGAAAGAGAGTGAGAGCGAGGGAGAGAAAAAGATGGACAGAATGTGAGAGAAATGGAGGAAGACAGAAGAGACAGAGACAGAAAGACCAACATAAAGAGACAGAGAGAGTAAGAGAGTGAGAGAGACAGGAGACAGATGAAGAGTTGAGAGAAGTATTCAGAGAGTACAGAGAGAGACAGATTCATAAGCTAAAAGACAAAGAGAGAGCGTAAGAGAGGCAGATGCTAGGAGAGACAGGGGCAGGAGTGTCATGGGGTTGAATGCCAGCTGATGCTGCCCTGCCTCCAGGTACCTTTGCATTTCCCATCCATTCAGGTACTGTTCAGAAGCAAGTGAGGGTGAGGTGACCTTTCCCTTGCAGGGAGTTTGAGCCCTGGAAAGCTGAGTTCTAGATCCCAAATGTCCCCTATTTATGCCCTCCTGAGGGCATGTCCCTTCTCCTGATAATCATGGACTCTCCCAGGTGCACCCCCTGTGGATGTGCTCCGGGCCCTGAGGTTCCCCTCCCTCCCTGATGGTGTCCGGAGAGCGAAAGGCATCTGTCCAGCTGATGTGGCCTACCGAGTGGCACGACCTGCCCAGCTCAGTGCACCCACTCGCCAGCTTTTCCCAGGTATGGGTGACATGGTGGGGTAGGCCTGGGGGGAGGTAATGGGATGGGGCCTAGGATCAGACACCAGGAGGAAAGGGGTTGTGGCGGCTCCCTTTGCCTCTCACTCTGTGTGTATCTCTCTCGGTTACTAGGAGGATTTCCCAAAGATTTCTCTCTGCTGACTGTTGTCCGGACCCGCCCTGGTCTCCAAGCTCCCCTCCTGACTCTCTACAGTGCCCAGGGTGTCCGACAGCTGGGCCTGGAGCTGGGCCCACCTGTCCGCTTCCTGTATGAAGACCAGACTGGGCGGCCTCAACCTCCCTCTCAGCCAGTCTTCCGAGGCCTCAGCCTAGCAGATGGCAAGTAAGTTTGTTTGCTCCTCTGGTCTGCCTGGCCCACACTTTCAGGAGGAAGTGCCCCCAAACCCCTACACTCTAAACTGTGAAACCCTTGAGACCCTTTGGGCCACACCACACCTACCCACTGCCCAAACTTCAGTCACTTCTAGTCCAGAGTTTGGGCTTTAGAGTGTACAGCCTTCTCTGCATGTTGAACTAGCCTGTACCTTGGGCAAGTTACTTAAAATTTTTGAGCCTCAGTTTCTACATCTGTAAAATAGACATTAAATAGAATTGGCACAAATAAGAAAGTGACGGCATGGTGTCTGGTGCACTGTAAACACTCAATAAATGGTAGCCATTGTTATTACTGCTCTTATCACCATTGGCTTCAACTCTTATCACTGCTCTCCAACCATGTTGACTCCCCTACTTCAGTCAGCCAAGAGTTCACTTGAACCTCTTCCACCATTTCCAGGTGGCACCGTGTGGCTGTGGCTGTGAAGGGCCAGTCTGTCACCCTCATTGTTGACTGCAAGAAGCGAGTCACCCGGCCTCTCCCCCGAAGTGCTCGTCCAGTATTGGACACCCATGGAGTGATCATCTTTGGTGCCCGTATTCTGGATGAAGAAGTCTTTGAGGTAACCAGAGCAATCAGAGGCAGGATTGACTTCTGGTCCCCTATCTTGTGCCCACTACCCTTCTGGCCCCAGCATGTCATCTTCCTATTCCCTAGGCCTTCATTTTTTTTTCTTATGAATTTTCATTTCTATTTTCTATCTTCAGGGCTACTGTTCTCTGCAGGAGAACTAGATGCCTACCTATATGGCAGGACTGTCCACAGCCACTTACTCTGTCCTTCAGTCTTCATCAGTTCCCTCATCCATCCATCCTTTCAACCCCTCTCTCTCCTCACCCACCCATCAATTCACTCACTCCTCAGCCAACCTATGCACACATCCACCACCCACTCCCCCATCTATTTACTCATCTATGCATCACACGCCCACCTAGTCATGCATGAAGGCTTATATCCACCCACCTGTCAATCCTCCCCCTGCTTAACCACTCTCCCCTTCAAACCACCCATCTATGCTTCCACCCATCTATCCTCTTCAACTCCTCCATCCAGCTATTCACTCACCCACCCACCCTCCCCATCTACCCATGCACACAAGGATGCATGCATCCATTCAGCCACCATCTATCCATTATCCTTCCACCAACTCAACCACTCCCTCCTTCAATATACTCACTCACCCATCTCCTGACCCACTTACTTCCCATCCGACCAGTCATTCACCCACATAAGTTCACCCATCTACCTATTCACCCATTTGCTTCCATCTACTCTGTAACCCCTGTTCATCTGCCCACCAGTCCACCCTCCCATACGTACATTTATTCATTCACTATTTATCAATGCTCCCATTCATTAATGCATGTAAGCCCCCAGCCACCCATCCACTCATCTATCCATTCATCCATCCCTCCATTCACCCATCCCTCCATTCACCCTCCAAGCCAGTCAACATTTTCTGAATACCTGCTGGACAAGGAGAACAAAGAAGAGAATATAAAGTCTCTATCACCCCCAAGAGCTCCCAGGTGGGCTCTGGAAATGAGACAACATCCCTAAATTACGGTGCAATGGAGAGTATGCTAAGCACCATGTGTGGGCAAAAGTAAATGCCATTGGAACTCAGGAATGGGTTCTCCCCACTCCATTTCTAGAGGTCCAGAGAATTCTCATCATCACTGCCATTGGAAGGCCAAGGCATCTAAAGCTGAGCCCTGTCTCTGGAAGCCACTGTGGAAGGGCTCATGCATTGCCACAAAGCGCAGAGGGGAGGCAAAGAATTCTGGAAGGCCTGGGATCTGGTCCTGATTCTGCCACTCTGGGTGACCTTGGGGCAGTCATTGCCTTTTTGGGCTTTTCTGAATGGAACGTATCTGAAAAATGGGTAGAAAGAAAGATCCTTGTTCTGCCAACTTTCCTGGTTGTTATGAAGGTCCTATGAGATCCCTTGAAAACTGAAAAGGGCTATGCATATGGAGGACTGACAGTGACCTTCTCCCATCTTAGGGTTTTACCTAGGATTGGCCTCCTATACTCTTTCTCCCGGATGATACCCTCTGCCTCTCTCTGAATCTCTCCGCTCCATCTCTCTCATGTCTTTGCAGGGTGATGTCCAGGAGCTGGCCATTGTCCCAGGGGTCCAGGCAGCCTATGAATCATGTGAACAGAAGGAGCTGGAATGCGAGGGGGGCCAGAGGGAAAGACCCCAAAACCAACAGCCTCACAGAGCCCAGAGATCTCCACAGCAGCAACCATCAAGACTTCACAGGCCACAAAATCAGGAACCCCAGAGCCAGGTGAGGGAGCTGGGAGAACCCCCAAGTGCAGCACACCCCAGAGAGGGAAGACACCCAGGCATCTCTCCTCCTTAGTTGTCCTCCCCACCCTCATCTCCCTATTCCCATCACCCCCTCCTCCTAGTCCTCATTCATCAGCCTTTTTATTTTCATCTAAAAATAAAAAGAGTTGTTATGAAGAATTTGTGGCTGGGAGCTGTGTTCCCTGCTCTGCGTCTCCTCTTCCAGTCTTCCTGGAACTGTGTCCCTGGGTTTTCCCTTCCTTCTTTGAATTAAGAGATTGGGAGACAGTGGGAGAGGGGTGAGAGCTGGGGAGGCAGGTAGGAGAGGGGACTGAAGCCAGGAGAAAGCAGTCGGGATGGTGAGACCAAGGAGGAGGAATGGGAAGGAGTAGGGATGGAGGGAATATCAAAGGAGGGGTGGGTCTGCAGAAGTGTGGGAGTGGGGAACCCAGTCTCTGGCCCCCACCTACCTGGAGGGGCAGGAAAAGGGGAGGTAGTAGGGGGAAGGGAAGGGAAGGGAAGGGAAGGGAGCCTGGGTTGGATGGGGTCTGGAGAGTTAGAATACAGATAGGCTCTGGGGTCAGTGGTCTAAAGATCAGAGGGTCAATCTCTTAATCATGTCTGCTTCTGCCCCACATGTGGAACCCCTTCCCTCTGTTCCACCTCTCCCCACCTCCCTCCTGACCCTCAACCTCTCCTTTCATCTTCAACTCTCTGTTTCCCAACTCCACACCTCCCCCGTTTCCCAACTCCCACACCATCTTTATATCTCCCTCTCCCGCCCTTCACCCCACACCTTCCAATTACCCCATCCCCTTCCTGTCTATGCCCACCCCCCAATCCCAGCCCACTGAGTCTCTCTACTATGACTACAAGCCCCCCTATTATGATGTGATGACTACGGGGACAACCCCTGATTATCAGGTAAACTCAAGGGACCCCTTCATTTCTTCCCTTTCTCCCAGCACCCCCAGCAATCATCTCCTAGGACACCTTCCTCCCCTCCCCCATGCCGTGGGGAGAGGCACAGTGTGTTTAGATTATGGGGATTTACTTAGTTCCTGCCCCCTCCCTGTCTCTCTGCTGCAGCGCCCTGGGAGCCCCCACCACAGGCCTCCCCCTTCCCCTAGGGGGCATCGGACCCCTCCCTGAAAGCCTACCCCACCTGCCAAGAGGTCAATGACCTGGCAGGCGTCCCCCTCACCAGGCCGGAGGCCCTCTCCAACTGCAGGCTTTGACCCAGCATGGGAGCAGCCTCCCCTTTCCCGATGCCCAGCTCGGAGGGCAGCTTCCCCCACTGCCTGGCCCCGCCCCAGGACCAGAGGCAGCAGTTACCGGCAGGTAGAGCCGGGGCATCCAGATCTCTGCCCCCAAACCTCTATGACCTTGGAGGTTCACTCTCCCCAAACTATCCCCCTCCAAAGGGGCTGCAAGATCTGAGATTTCCCCCATCCCCCAGCACAGACAGACCCTGCCCTCGGGGGACAGGTGCTGCTTTGCCTCCCTTCTGCTAACCTTTCTCCTTCCTTCCCACCCCGTGCTACTCTTCTCCTTCTCTCCTTGGGGACAGGACCCCACCCCAGGTGAAGAGGAAGAAATCCTGGAGTCGAGCCTCTTGCCACCCCTTGAGGAGGTAACTCTATGCCCCACCCTCACCCCATCTGGGGGCAGTGGGCACCTGTGACTCACTCCCCTCAGCCCATGACGTCTTGATGGACCAGCCCCTCCTCTGGCCGGAGGGTTCTTCCTCATTTCCATCGATGGCCTCTGTCTTTGGGTCACTCTAGAACTATGGGCCTGCTTGACTCTCTAAGTCCAGCCCGTTCCCTTCAGTATCCAGGCCTCCTTCCATGATTCTTTGATTCCTGAGTGACTTCGTCTCCATGTTGGTGTCTAATGGTCTTACTTTCTATGTCCTATTTCTGTTCCCGGGAGCCACTTTCTGTCCAGTGTTGTCACCTTTTGTCTTCCCTATCTCTTTGGTCATTCCTGGACTCCTTTGTCTGTCATTGTGTCCATGGACTGTCCACTCTGCATCCAGTCCTCTGGCCACCCTTCATTTTATCCACCACTTCTTCCCACTGGACCCACTTTCTGGACATCTCTCCCCATTTTTGGCCTTTGATGGCCCTTCCATTTATATACAACCACTCCCATGGCTATTCTTGGGAGAAAAAATCCAGTTCTGATTAACCTTGGAATCCTTTGGGCTAGAAGTTGTCACACCCTGGGGTCCAGGGTAAGCCTCCTCTCAGCCCTAACATCCCCATCTACCCCTCTCCCTCCCCATCCCTGGGAAGGAGCAGACAGATCTCCAGGTCCCCCCCACAGCCGACAGGTTCCAGGCAGAGGAATATGGGGAGGGTGGCACAGACCCCCCTGAAGGGCCCTACGATTACACCTATGGCTATGGGGATGATTATCGTGAGGAGACAGAGCTTGGCCCTGCCCTCTCTGCGGAGACAGCCCACTCAGGAGCCGTAAGTGAAAGGAGCTTCTCTTTCATTCTTGACTACCAGTGGGAGCTACAAGAATTGCTTCTTGTTGGTTTCGATCCTTGGCTGTTGGCTGTGAGCTATTTCCCATCTGTGACTTGTCATTTTCTGTTCACATATGATGTATATGTTGCTTGAAAAGATTACTACCTGCCTTCCTTTGCCAAATGTCTTACCTTGTGACTCTTGTGGATACTTCTGAAGCTCAGGGCAATTGGGAATTAAAAAAAAAAAATATGTAGCCACTTCCTGTCTTTCTTGATCACTTCCTGTCTAACTGAAGCTGGATTTCATAAAGCTTTTGGTCAATAAACTACTACCTTGTGTCCATTTTCAGTGTTTCTCTATCATTTCTTCTTGGTGAAATAATTTTTTGTTCATGTTTCTACCAAACGATCTAACTTCCTATGTCACCTTTTTTTAACCTACAGGCCACTTATTATCTGTCCCTTCCTGCCTTCTCCAGCTGTGGCATCCATCTTGGTAACTGTGTCAGGTTGGACTGCAAAGGATTTATTATTTCTGTTCTGGCTCTAGTTTTTCATGCTATCTTGTGACAATTTCCTTTGACAATAAGCCACTTCCTGTATGTCTCAGGTCATTTAAATCATAAAGTTTCCATTGTGGGCCTCGATATTTCTCATGGCTACTTCCTGTGTGTCCTAGCCTTGATGTTTGTGTTTTCTGGAAGAATTACCCTTCACTGTCATGATTCCCTTTGCAGGAGTCACATTCTACCTGTTTTGTGCCTTTCTTTTCTCTCTGGGTCACGGTAGCCATGTTGTTGTTGAAGGTTCACTTCCTGGATCCTCTTTCCTTCACTGCTTCCTGTCTGTTCAGCCACTTCCTGTTTGTCCAGTTTGTTTTCTAGCCATGTTGGCCATGTTTAATTTTCTTCGGCCCTGGCATCATTCTTGCTTCCAAGTGTTTGTCATTTTGTTCTGTGTCCCTTAGTTGTTCTCATATCTTCCAGTATTCCCTGTCAGTGGGACTGCTTCCTGTCTACTCCGCTCCGTCTTCTGCCTGCCTTGCAGTTCTGGCTGCCTCCTCTACCCTGCTGCCGCATCCCATACCTCCCCTCTCTTGCCTCCCTTGAGCTTCTACTGCCTTTCCTTTATGCTGCTCTCTGGGTATTTGGGGTTGATATGGGATTTCAGAGAATTTTGAAACGGATCATTGCTGTTTGGTCAGAATGAAGGTGGAGAGGGGCATTCTGAAGATCTTTGTTGGGGGGAGTTGGGGTGGTGGTGAATGTCTCCCATTCTCCATGTTCTTATTTTGTTTCTGGCCCTAGAGTTGGGAACAGGTATCTGAGTGGAGGTGTGCAAGGGAGGGAACTGGTGGGCTTGGAATGTACTTGAGGGCCAGAGGAAGGGCAATGCATTCAGTGGGGACTGCTCTCCAATTTTTTTTTTTTTTGAGGCAGGGTCTCACTCTGTCACCCAGGTTGGAGTGCAGTGGCAGGATCTTGGCTTACTGCAACCTCTGCCTCCTGGGTTCAAGCGATCCTCCTGCCTCAGCCTCCCGAGTAGCTGGGGTTACAGGCATGTGCCACTGCGCCCGGCTATTTTTTGTATTTTTAGTAGAGACGGGGTTTCACATGTTGGCCAGGCTGGTCTCAAACTACTGACCTCAAATGAGCTGCCTGTTTCGGCCCCACAAAGTGCTGGGATTACAGGCGTGCGCCACCGTGCCTGGCCTCCAAATTTACTTAGAGTATGGATGCTTAACCTTTGGGGCATATTTAAACTTGTGAACCCTTTGAAATCCTAAATAAAATTCTGTGCATAATAGCATATACTTTTTCATTTCTGGAGAAAGACTCACAGCTTTCATCAGATTCTTTTTTTTCTTTGAGATGGAGTTTTGCTCTTGTTGCCTAGGCTGGAGTACGATGGCATAATCTTGGTTCACTTCAACCTCCACCTCCTGGGTTCAAGCTATTCTCCTGCTTCAGCCTCCCAAGTAGCTGGGATTACAGGCATGTGCCACCACACCCAGCTAATTTTGTATTTTTATTAGAGATGGGGTTGCACCATGTTGGTCAGGCTGGTCTCAAACTCCTGACCTCAGGTGATCTGCCTGCCTCCGCCTCCCAAAGTGCTGGGATTATGGGCGTAAGCCACCTCGCCCGGCCTAGCTTTTATCAGGTTCTCATGTGGGTCCATGCCCTCCTCTTACCCCAAATAAAAATCTACCCACAATCTTAGAGAGATTCTTTTATGATGTATTGGGGTAAATGTGTGGAAGGTTTCTTAAGGTTCTAGGGAGGGAGTTTGGGAGATGGGATAGGGTCCTCTAGAAGAGGGTTTGGGAAGGTGGGTGGTTTAAAATCCCTGAAAGGGGCCAGGTGTGGTGGCTCACGCCTGTAATTCCAGCACTTTAGGAGGCCAAGGCAGGCGGATCACCTGAGGTCAGGATTTTGAGACCAGCCTGGCCAACACGGTGAAACCCCATCTCTAATAAAAATACAAAAATTAGCCGGGCATGGTGGTGCACATCTGTAATCCCAGTGTAATCCCAGCTACTTGGGAGGCTGAGGCAGGAGAATCACTTGAACCTGGAAGGCAGAGGTTGTAGTGAGCCGAGATCGCGCCATTATACTTCAGCCTGGGTGACAGAGCAAGACTTCGTCTCAAAAAAAAAGAAAAACAAACAAACAAACAAAAACACTGGAAGTTTCTGGGGACCTTCCTGAAAGAGGCTCTCAGGGAGATGGAGAGGTTGTGTTTGCTGAGGTGGGGCTGGGAACTGGGGGGCAGGGAACCCTGAGGTCTCCTTGGCAGGCTTGAAAGGTTTGTGAAGAGGGAGTTTTAGGGGAGGGCTGTGGGGCTTTCGGGTAGGGCTGAAGTGGTCTCGAGAGGATCTAAGAATCAAGGTTGGAGTTGAGATGGAGAAAGGCCTAGTGTCCTGGCTGCTCACGGGCCCCACTGGGGGCTACATGTGTGTCTCCTTCAGGCTGCCCATGGACCCCGAGGGCTGAAGGGAGAGAAAGGAGAGCCTGCAGTGTTGGAACCTGTAAGTTATGCTGGTCACAGGGCTGAGGCAGTGGAAATAGGAGAAGCAAGTGGGGTTGAGTGTGCTGGTCCTGTCGCCTCTGATTTTTAACCTTTGACTCCACAGGGTATGCTCGTGGAGGGGCCCCCTGGCCCAGAAGGCCCTGCGGTAAGTCTAGCAGTGACCTGGTGGCCATTCTTTTCTTAGAAACCCCTTCTATGTGCTCATCTGAGCCTTCCCCACATATGCCCAGGCCTCCTCCTCAGAACTCGGGAGCATCCCTCCAATCAACGCTTCCCAGATTCCCAGATCTGTTCTGCACAGACCACTCCTCAGCCACAGGCTGAGTGTCCACACCTGTCTGAATGCCCACACCTGACCCCTACTCTTTTGTTCCTCAGGGATTGATTGGTCCCCCTGGCATCCAGGGGAACCCAGGCCCAGTTGGAGACCCTGGAGAGAGGGTAAGGGGGTGTCCTCCATGTGACGGGGGAGCTTCGGGGGAGCTAGTGGTATCCAAGCGGGGGGCTACCATGCCCAGTAATTTCCTGTTAGGTGGCTTGTTAATGAATGAGGGGATGGTTGTGCTTCCCAGCAACCAGAAAGGAGGGCAGACTCTGGTTGGGGAGGGTGCTGATCTGGTTTCTCACCCTCAATTTTCCCCATGGGGGTGGGAGACTCAGGAAAGAGCTAGAGCAATCTACACTTATTCTGTTGAAGAGGATATTTCAAAATCATGCTAAGATCTTGATGTCCCCTTATCTTTCACCCCATCTTTTGCATTCTCTTCCCACTCCAGGGCCCCCCTGGCCGAGCAGGGCTCCCTGGATCAGATGGGGCTCCTGGTCCTCCTGGCACATCTCTCATGCTCCCAGTGAGTTGTCTCTTGGGTTTTGGAACATGCTGATGGGGAAGACAAGGAATTGTGTCATGTTACCAAGAACCAGATGGGCAGGAAAGATATGGAGGAGTCTCTAAAGATCATCAAAGATCATCACTCCAAAGGGATTCGTCTTTGGGGTTGGGGAGATGGGGCCTCATTAGGTGACCTAGAACAAAACACCAGTCTTCTAGGACTGGGCAGAACAGCCTATATTTCAGGAGCTCTAGAACCAAAAGAGAGTCTTTCTGGAGGCAGAGGCTGGACAGTGGAGGAGGGCAGGAGTTGAGTTTCTGGAATCCTCTAAGTGATTATCTGGAAGCCATGGGAAATGCTGGATGGGCAGAACCTGGGGCAAGGGGCAGAAACGCTGGAGAAAGCCTCTGGCTGGGAGGGTCCCATGGCTTTCTTGGAAGAGAACCTGGACCTTCTCTCCTTGCCCTCAGTTCCGGTTTGGCAGTGGTGGGGGTGACAAGGGCCCTGTGGTGGCGGCCCAGGAGGCTCAGGCCCAGGCGATCCTGCAGCAGGCGAGGGTGAGTGGGGCTGCTTCCCTGGAAAGGGAAGGCTCTGGGGGGCACTGGAAGGGTTGGCTGGAGTGAGTGTGCGGCAGGGGAGGCCTGGGTTGGTTTGGGGTTAACAGGGAGGTTGGGGAGAATCCTGGGCAGTGGATGAGGATCAGGAGAGGAAGGGTGAATTTGGAGAGTGCTGGGGCTGGGGGTTCCCACTGCCTGTCCCTCAGCTCTGCTGTCCCCCTGCTCCCCTAGCTGGCGCTCCGTGGACCCCCTGGCCCCATGGGATACACAGGGCGCCCTGGACCCTTGGTGAGTGAGCAGGGTGCTCGGGTGGAGGATGCTTTAATTGTGTGTGGGGTGTGGATAGTTCTGGAAAGGGGCTTCTTTTGGGGAACACTCCGAGGCCACTGTTGGCTGTGTCCTTCCTTACGGCCATCCTCTCTTCTCTCTCCCAGGGCCAACCTGGGAGCCCTGGCCTGAAAGGAGAGTCTGGAGACTTAGGACCTCAGGTGACCACTTTCCTCCACTGCACCCCCATATCTGTTCACCAGCTCAGTCTCCCTCACTCCCCTCCCTATGCCTCCTAACCCCACCCCATCTCTCCTCTCACCAGGGCCCCAGAGGACCTCAGGGCCTCACAGGCCCTCCTGGCAAGGCTGGGCGAAGGGTGAGTGCCCCAGGGGTGGATGGGTGTTGTGGGGAGACAGGGCCTGCAGGGTAGGGGACTGCGGCCCTGCTTGTTCTGACACTTCCCTTGTTCTCCCAGGGCCGGGCAGGTGCTGATGGAGCCCGAGGGATGCCTGGAGATCCTGGAGTGAAGGTAACAGGCTTGGGCCCCTCCCTGAAGCCTGTAGCCTTCAGCCCACGCTGGGCTCAGTTGTTTCTTGGGGATGACCTAGTTCTCCAGGCTTCCCCAGGATCAGCACCCCCCCAGCTCAGGGTGCAGTAGGGAGGGGTGGGCTTGGACAGGGTCGTGTCCTCACTCTGGCTATCCTTCCTCCTCCTAGGGTGACCGAGGTTTTGATGGACTCCCAGGGCTCCCTGGAGAGAAGGGCCATAGGGTGAGTACATTAGTGGGTGTGTGTTGTAATTGGGGATAGATCTTCTATGGGAGTGAGGATAGGTAGGGAAGGGAGGCTGGAGGCTTGGCAGGAGCTCAGTGAAAGTAATGGATGGGCTAAGTGCAGAGGTTCGGTGTCTGCCTGTGTTGGGGGCTCTGAAGCCCCTCTTATGAGTTCCCCCATTTTGCAGGGTGATACTGGTGCCCAGGGCCTTCCTGGTCCCCCTGGTGAGGATGGAGAGAGGGTAAGTGTAGTGGCAAATGTAGGGGCTGGGTGCAGGGGAGGTCTAGAAGGCACAGCAGCTTTACCGTGTCCTCCTCCTCCAGGGAGATGACGGGGAGATTGGGCCTCGAGGGCTGCCTGGAGAGTCGGTGAGTGTCCAAGGGCTGGTGCTGGGGGAGGGGGCTCTGGGGAAGCCAGGAGGGGGACATGAGCACTAAAGGGACACAGTTTTATCCATTCATGCCGTCTCCTCCCCTCACCGTGAATGCAGGGACCTCGAGGTCTCCTTGGCCCCAAAGGCCCACCTGGTATTCCTGGACCCCCTGTAAGTGACTCCCTGACTTCTGACCCTGAGGTGACCCCTTGACCTCTCCAACTCTCCACCTTTCTAGCTGCCTTCCTGCTCCCTCTCCTCTCTCGGCATGCTTCCCATTCCCTGTGAGCTCCCCCTGCTCTGGCCCCACACTGCCCTGCCTCAGCATTCGCTCCCCGTGCACAGGGAGGGCCATGTGGCGTGGTGCCCCGAGGGCTCTGGGCATAGGAAATAAATCTTCAAGAAAAACAAAACCAAAGCCCACAAGCCCACAGATCCACAGTCCCACACACTGCAGGCCTGGGCCAGCTGTGTTTGCTTGGGTTTGGGATGGATTGGAGGTCTGACCGTCACACCCTCGGGAATGGCCGGGCCTCTGAAAACCACAGGTCCCTCCGGGCCACCTTCAGGCTGCTCACACCCATCTTGTGTTTCAGGGCGTCCGAGGCATGGATGGTCCCCAGGGCCCCAAAGGGAGCTTGGTGAGTGATGGATAGGAGATCCCACCCCCATTCTTATCCCCCGAGGTCCCTGCCAGCATCCTGTTGGCCTCCATTTTGACCCCTGCCTGCTTCCTGCTCTTGCCTTCTTGGCTATCGCTGCTGGGACTCAGCTCCATGCTCTAAATGTGTTCTATCTCCATCTCCTTCTGACCTGTGCCTGGTCACCTGTTTCTAGGGACCCCAGGGAGAGCCAGGACCTCCTGGACAACAGGGCACCCCTGGGACCCAGGTGAGCGGTGCCCCTACTCCGTTCCCCAATTTTCATGACTTCCCTTGGGCTTCCACAATGGGTGAGACCCTGGAAGGATACAGGAAATTAAGGGTTTCAGGCCCTTGTTGCTCATGCTTTGAATCCGGGAGGCTGGATAGAAGAGACCCTGGGAGGCCCCTGTGACTTCTCTTTCCCTGTATGTAGGGTCTTCCCGGGCCCCAGGGTGCCATCGGCCCTCATGGAGAGAAGGTAAGTGACTAAGTGATTTGGAGGACAGGGGGTTTAGAGTGGGGATGTAGGGAGAACCCTAAATGTCTGCTGGGATTTTGTCTGTGTCCAGACATGACCCCTCTAGTGACCCTGAGCCTCTTTGTCTTCCTGCAGGGTCCTCAAGGGAAGCCAGGGCTCCCCGGCATGCCTGGCTCAGACGGACCCCCGGTGAGTGGGACCCCACTTCCGAATCCAGTTCCCCTTGGCCTTCCACCCCAGTGCATGACCTCAGAGCTCCTTTAGTGACCCTTGCACTGAAAGGTCACTGGTGGTGCTTGTCCATGGACAGTTGGCTTCACTAGGTCACAGGAAATTTGGGTTGGAAGAAGTGTAGGGAGGGGTGCAGAGAGGGTGACAGGGGCCACTGGTCACATTTTCTATCCCTTACTCCCAGGGTCACCCAGGGAAGGAAGGTCCCCCTGGAACCAAAGGAAACCAGGTGAGATCTTCCATGTCTTTATCCCCTGAGGGAGTCTCCACTCAGACTCTAGAGCCTCAAAGTCCTTGGGATTCCCTTGTCTCATTATTCATATGGCTCTGCCACATTCTCAATTCCTGTGCCCTGTAACCCTACCCAGACAGCAATGTTGTTACTTCCATTTCTTCCACCCCTGGAGGCCCCCACAGTGACACTCTGAGGCCCCTTTATAAATGCCTCTCTTTTATCTTCCAGGGTCCCTCTGGACCTCAGGGACCTCTAGGATACCCAGGACCTCGAGGGGTCAAGGTAACTGACCACCAGGCTGGGAGACAAAGGGCTGTGGTCAGGGGAGCTATATGGGGTCTTAGGAGCTTGGTCCTTCCAACCCACCTCCATCCCCTGATCAGTCTACTTCTATCCCCTCTCTAATTCTAGGGTGTGGACGGAATTCGGGGTCTGAAGGGTCATAAGGGTGAGAAGGTGAGCACCATGCCCCCAGCTTCCCAGCACCTCAGTCCTGCCATCTCCTCTCTTCACTGCCTTCCCTCCAGCCTGCCCCGCACTGCCGTCCAGCTCCCGAGCCCCTGCTTCCACCTATGTTCTCAGAATTCCCATTAGAACCCCAGCCCTCTGTCATCTGTGGTGCCCTCTCACCTCTATCTTTCTCAGGGTGAGGATGGCTTTCCTGGGTTCAAAGGTGACATAGGCGTGAAAGGTGACAGGGTGAGTAGAGACCCCACACTGGCCCCAATTCCGTGTTCTACTGAGCCTCCACTCTGGAGACGCCAAGCACCGGTTTATTCTCCTGAGTCTCCAGACTCCACAGTTCCAGTGCTGTGTTCCCTTGGGAGCCTGACCCCTATAGGATGATAGCCCCATGGTCTGTGTCATGCCTGCCCTCCCATCACTACACTATCCCTACCCTGTGGGCTTCCTGTCCTGCAGTGGCTCCTGGGACCCCTCTAGCCCTCCTCAGCCTCACTGTTGCCCATTTCTCCTCTGGGCCCAGAGCCCACCTCCAGTCCCCAGCACTCACCTGTCCTTCCCTCTCACACAGGGCGAAGTTGGAGTCCCTGGTTCCAGGGGAGAGGATGGTCCTGAGGGGCCAAAGGGACGCACTGGACCGACTGGAGACCCTGGGCCCCCAGGGCTCATGGGCGAGAAGGTGATGGGATGAGGGTTCTGTGCCTGGGTCCTCTGGGGGTGTGGGCACTGGGGTCAGGATGGGCATGGGTGCCCGCCGCTGAAGTCAGCCAGTCAGTTGAAGATGGCCATGCATTAGTCATACTTCTGTCTGTGTAAATGGCATCTCTCAGCTGCTGATGGGCAGAGGGGATATATAAGAAGTCAGGGAAAAGTCCCTGACACGAAGAGTTGGACGGAGACGAAGCTTAGAGAGTAGCTGTTGCTTCAAGGCAGAGTGAACATGCGTTCGGACTCCAAGCAGCAGGAGTTCTGAGATGAGAGAGTCTAATAGCAGTGAGGTCTGTGGTCTCCAGAGCTGACTCTCCCCAGCACTTGCCCTATGCCAGGTGCTGTGCTGATGCGTCCTATCTATCCTATGAGGTAGGCATGTGACGTACTGTTTTGCTGAGGTTTTACAGAGGCACAGGGATGCTTGTTGATTACATGGCCAGTGAAGGGCAGAGCCAGGGGTTATGCCCAGGCAGTCTGGCTTCAGAATCTCTGCTTCTAAGCCCTGCTCTGCAGCTGCCTGGGCAGGGTGAGCCCTGGAGCCTCTGGGGAAGGGGGCATGCACGGGAGTCGGGGTGTGGTGGGCAAAGGGCCTGCAGGGGGATTGGTCTTGGTGAAGCAGGAGTGGGTGCTGGGGTAGATCCCACCTCCCTCATGGGGTAGATGGAGCTGAGGTTGACATGTGGGAAGCAGCTAGATCACAGTGACCCTGAAGGACCTGATACCTCTGTAGGCGCAGGGGAGGTGGGATCCCAGCACTAGAATTGGGGAAAATCCACTCATGGGAAGGAGAGACAACAAAAGTCAGGCAGCTGTGGGGCAAGCAATGAGGGGCTAGAGGCTGGGGTGTGTGGGGTGTGTTGCTGGGTGGGGGCTGGCTGTTATATGTGAGGGTTGAGGTCTCCAGGGGTGGAGTGGCATCTGGGCCTCCTCTCACTCCTAACTGCTTCCTGTCCCTCCACAGGGCAAGCTGGGTGTTCCTGGTCTGCCTGGCTATCCTGGACGTCAGGGACCCAAGGTGATGCCATGCCCCATACGTGCCCCTCCTCCTCTTCCCTCCTCCTCTTCCCTTCCCTGATCCCTGATTCCAGAAAGCACAGATGCAGGGCAGTGGGGGACCCCAGAGGGAATTTAGCTGACCCCCATTTTACAGATGACCGAAAGAGGCCCAGAGAGCAGCAGGGGTTTGTCCAAGGCCACTTAGTTCTTGGCAGAGCTCGGGTCTCCCTGGCCACTGCCTTTGTGGCCTCTCCTGACCCCCTTTGCCCCTTCCTGAACCCTACCTTTCATAACTTCTCAATTTCCCCCCTTCTCCGTTCTCACCAGGGGTCCCTAGGATTTCCTGGCTTTCCTGGTGCCAGTGGAGAGAAGGGAGCCCGGGTAAGCTGGGGGGTGGGAGGGGGTGAGAAGGGAAGGGCTGGAGAGGTGTAGAGGGGGTCTGTGGGGAGTCTCACCCTGGGTAATGTTCTCTCTGCTTCATTCCCACCAGGGCCTGTCGGGGAAGTCAGGGCCTCGGGGAGAACGGGGCCCCACGGTGAGTGCAGGGGAGAGAAACAGGTGGCTCAAGGTCCAGAGGGGGGCATTTGGGTTTCTCTGACAACTCCTCTTCCCTCTGTAGGGTCCACGGGGTCAGCGGGGACCCCGAGGTGCCACTGGGAAGTCTGGAGCTAAGGTGAATGGTCTCTACAAGGCTCCAACTGCCCCCTGCCCACTCAGCCCCAGCTCTCCCTCAACATCCTGACCTCGGGGACAGCTGGAAAGCAGCTCTTCCCACTCCTTGACTCTGTTTCCCCCCACAGGGAACATCTGGTGGTGATGGCCCCCATGGGCCCCCTGGAGAGAGGGTAAGTGTGGATCGAAAGTCCCCTTCCCCTGAGGTCCCCAGGGAGCCTGGGTGAGCCAGCTCCCTCCTCACCCCAGGAAGGAAGCTGAATTCCCCCACTCAGCCCCTGCCCCCATTCTCCTGACTCCCCCCACCTCTGTCTCTAGGGCCTCCCTGGACCTCAGGGTCCCAACGGGTTTCCTGGACCGAAAGGACCCCCGGTAAGTTGACCCCGAGCTCTGACCCCCCTCGCTTCTCTGAGTCCTTCTTCCCTACCTGCTTTCCAGCTGAGAGTTCACCTGACAACTGAACCCCTTCCAGGGCCCCCCTGGGAAGGACGGGCTGCCGGGACACCCAGGCCAAAGAGGAGAAGTGGTGAGTGATGCTCCTGGCTACCCATTCTCAGGGGGCTCCATCAGACCCTTTAACCCCAGAGCTGTCTGGAAAGCCCACAGGGACGTTCTCCTGGCAGAGTGGAGCCTGCCCTGGTGCTGCTCAGACCCAGGGCCCAGGGCTCGGTGTGATCCTGCCTGGGATCCTTCCTCCTGGGAATCTGCCCCACAGCGCCCACACCTGCTTTCACTGCATTCTCCTCTCTTCCTCGCCTAGGGTTTCCAAGGGAAGACCGGCCCCCCTGGTCCTCCAGGAGTGGTGGGACCTCAGGTAGGTTTGTCCCTAGGAGAGAATGGACCCCTGACCCTAGCATTAGTCTGTCTGCCCCTCTTCTCTCGGTCACACGCCCCTGCCCCGGTCCACCTGACCCAGACTCCTGGGGCTGGGGTCAATGGTGGGGGCTGGGATTTCAGGCAGGGGTCCTGAACTTCAGTCTGTTTTGGGGCGCATTCTCATCGTCTTGTCCCCCAGGAGAGGCAGTTCCCCAACAGAGACACAAGGTGGTGTAGTTACTCCACATGGGGCAGGAGAAAACCCAGCAGTGGCCCAGGAATGCCGGGGAATTTCCCAGGAGCTTTGGGGCAGGGATAAAGGGGTTCTGAAGGAGTGTTTTAGGGTGGCCAGGGTGGGCTCTTCTGGCAGACAGCGAGATGAAGGGCCTGAGAGCAGGAACTCTCTCTGCTTTTGTCTAGGGAGCAGCAGGAGAAACCGGCCCTATGGGGGAGAGAGGTCACCCAGGCCCCCCGGGGCCCCCTGGAGAGCAGGGACTACCTGGGACAGCTGGAAAAGAAGGAACAAAGGTCAGTGAGGGGCCAGGCAGAGGGGAAGTGGGGGAGCTGGGGATTGGGGTGCTGAAAGGAACAGGTAGTTGGAGATTTGAGGGGGGGCTGGAGAGCTCTCTGTTTAATTTGGGAGCATGGCTGTGGCTCATCACCTCTCCTTTCCTTTTAGGGTGACCCTGGTCCCCCTGGGGCCCCAGGGAAGGATGGTCCTGCTGGTCTGAGGGGATTCCCAGGAGAGAGAGGCCTCCCAGGCACTGCTGTGAGTGTGACTCCCAGACCCCTGCCTGTCACAAGCACCAAGCATCCTGAGTCCCCCCCCCGACCCTGTCCCTGACCCCCTCCATGTCACTCCCCACTTCCATCTTTTGGAGCCTGTCTTCCCTCTCCAGCTCTCACCCTTCTCTTTTCGTGAAGTCTCATCTTCCCCAAATGTCTGGTTCATAGGGTGGACCTGGTTTGAAGGGGAATGAAGGTCCGTCTGGCCCCCCTGGCCCTGCAGTGAGTCTGGGGTTCCGGAAGTGGTAGGAAGGACCCGGGAAAGGGGTGGGTGAGGAAGGGTGGGAGTGGCATTCTGATACCACCAGGGGCTGTGGGGCTGGGCAGAGGCTGTCCAGGGACAGCCAGAATGCATCTGATTTTGGGAGCTTTTGGGAATTGTGGTCCGAGGTTCTCTGGTATGGGCGGGCTGGTGTCTCCTTCCTGGGGGTCTGACCATCTGCTTTCTCAGGGCTCCCCTGGGGAACGAGGTGCAGCAGGATCAGGGGGACCCATTGGTCCGCCAGGGCGCCCAGGCCCGCAGGGTCCCCCTGGAGCAGCAGGAGAGAAAGGTGTCCCAGTGAGTGTGGGGGTCTTGGGGAGGGGTACTGGGGAGGGGTCTGTGAGCCTAGGGTTGATGGGCTATGACAAGTTTCCTGTGGGGTGTTTGAGGGTGAGGGTCACCTCCAGGCCATGACTCCTTCCTCCTGTCCCACAGGGTGAGAAGGGCCCCATTGGCCCAACTGGCCGAGATGGAGTGCAGGGTCCTGTGGGGCTTCCTGGTCCTGCTGGGCCTCCAGGTGTGGCTGGAGAGGATGGAGACAAGGTGAGGGGACCCCACAGACCCCGACCAATCTTCTTTCCAGATGAGATGGCTGACCTGGGCATGACCCCTGGCCCCTGTCATGTCATCCTTCCCACTCTACCCATCACCTTTCTCTAATATCTTGTCTGCCTTCTCCTCCCAGGGTGAGGTGGGGGACCCCGGACAGAAGGGCACCAAAGGGAACAAGGGTGAACATGTAAGTGTCCATGACCTTGACTTCTGACCTCCTGGCCTTTAACCTCAGTCCCACCTGATCTCTCTCCCTGTTTTGGTGTCTCTGACTCTCTTTTCTTACCCAGGGCCCTCCTGGACCCCCTGGACCCATTGGTCCTGTGGGGCAGCCTGGAGCAGCGGTGAGTGACCCCTCCACCCCCACCGAAGGCCCAGCAGCCTCTGGTCCTCCCTCAGCTCCCCTCTGCCCTTGTGGCTGGGAGTGGGAGCAGGGGCTCTGGGCCTGGCACCCAGCTGTGTGTGGTATTTGTGGATAGAGAACACCGACCCATGACCCATCCCTGTGTCCTTGTCTCTGCTTTCCCTCAACCCTGCAGGGAGCAGATGGGGAGCCTGGAGCTCGGGGACCCCAGGGACACTTTGGAGCCAAAGGTGATGAAGGAACAAGAGGATTCAATGGGCCCCCAGGACCCATTGGCCTACAGGTGTGTTGGGGGATAGGACAGGGGCTGAGAGGTGGGGTCAGGATGGGGTGATGTTTTGCCCCAGACTCTGCCAGCAGCCTGCCGATGCGGACTGGAGGGCCTGCGGAGTCTGAGGGGAGGGGACTGTGGGGCCTATCTGCCTAGGGCTGTGCTTTGGGTGGGGTCGTCACCTGGGCCCATGTTTTGTATACTTGCACAGGGTTTGCCAGGCCCCTCTGGGGAGAAGGGAGAAACAGGAGATGTGGGTCCTATGGTGAGTGTGACCCCTACTGACCCTAGCCACCATACTAGTCACCCCCCTCCCTGGCCAGCCCCCACCCCACACCCCACTGCCAACTCCCTGGCCTGGCTGCTCCTCCTCCTCTCTCCACCATTCATGCTCAGCCATCTCACTTCCCTTCCTCATCTGTGGTGTATCTGTTTCCCCCAGGGACCACCTGGCCCCCCAGGACCTCGAGGTCCAGCTGGACCCAATGGCGCTGATGTGAGTCATCTCAGCCCCTGTCCCTTGAGACCAATGTGTCTGGTCTTCTGCCTCCCTTTCCCAGACCATAAACTCTAGTATCGTCTCAGGGGCCAAGAGAAGCCCTTACTCCCGGGAGGCCTCCACTGCCTCACTGCTGTAACCTTGGGCTGCTCATCTGGGACTTTGCCCCTGAAATGGCACCTCCATCCTAAGCAATGACACCTATTTCTGTTCCTCTTCCAGGGCCCACAAGGTCCCCCAGGAGGTGTTGGGAACCTGGGTCCCCCTGGAGAGAAGGTAACTGGGAAGGGGGTGAGTGGACCAGTCATGGAAGTGGGGGATGGGAGTTGGATTTCTGCCAATTTTGGGTGGGGAGACAAAAGAGAATGAGATATGGGGAATATCAGAATTTTTTGGCTGGGGAAGGAGAGGAGGTTTTTGACTCTAATCTCTTTGCAGGGGGAACCAGGAGAGTCAGGATCTCCAGGGATCCAGGGCGAGCCAGGTGTCAAGGTGAGTGACAGCTCCAAGGCCTTACTCCCCAGTCCCCGTCACCCGCCTCAACCCTGCCTCCACTTTTCCTGTGACCTCCTTGAGCTGGAACTCCTCTGCAGCAAGAGTCTCTGCTCCCTGCCATCCTCTATGAGGCCTGATCCCTGGTCTGAGTGAGCCCTTCTTCCCCTTTCTTGAAGGGAAGGGGACTAGGGAACTCCCCTTATAGGCTTGACTTTCTGTGTATGTCCCATTGTCACTGAGGGGAGTAGGGGATGGCTGAAGGTGTCTCGGAAGCAGAGGCTGCATCCCTGATCTTCAAGATTCCCTGGGCCATCTGTGTCCTCCGCTTGTTCTGCAGGGTCCACGCGGGGAACGTGGAGAGAAAGGAGAGTCGGGGCAGCCAGGAGAGCCAGGGCCACCAGGGCCTAAAGGCCCCACAGGCGATGATGGCCCCAAAGGGAACCCTGTGAGTTTGGGGCAGTGGGGGCTGAGTCCTCTCAGGCCCTGTGAATGACAGACCTGGGAATATGGGTGTGTGTGAGGGAGGATCTTGGAGTGTGGGGAGCCCGGGAGTTTGGGGGATGCTCTGGGAATGGGGCATCCAGAGGGATGCCTGGGGTCTAGGATCCGGAGAGAAAGTGAGAGATGCCCTGCAGTTAATACCTTGAGGAATTAGACAACACGCAGTGCACGTGGTAGGGAAAGGGGTGCAGGAGACCTCTTCCTGGGGGGTACTGGTGGGCACTGCCTCTAGAGAGGCAGTGGCGTGTGCCTGTGGGCGTCTGTGCTGGGTGGGCTTAGGGAGCTGTGACCCTGACTCTTATTCTCCATCTGGATCAGGGTCCTGTTGGTTTTCCTGGTGACCCTGGCCCCCCTGGAGAAGGTGGCCCTCGGGTGAGTCTTACTCAGAGAAGGGAAGGGGCAAAAAGGGTGGGGCTTCTATGGGGGGGGTCCTCTGTGTGGCCGCTGGGCTTGGGTATTGGGAAGCTGGGGGTATGGCAGGGTGGGCAAGGGGATGGGGTATTGACAGTTTTGGAGGTGATGCCAGCCAAGTTGGGGGCCCACCTCTGACCTTGCTTCACTTCTGCAGGGCCAGGATGGTGCTAAGGGTGACCGAGGCGAGGATGGTGAGCCAGGACAGCCTGTGAGTGCCTGGTGACCCCACCACCCCCCTGAGCCCAAGCCTCATCCTCTTTACCCCTCTTCTGTGCCCCACTCCTGAGGGGTCCCTTGGCTGGAGGATAAACACTCAGCCACCCCAATTCCTCTCTCCCTAGGGATCCCCTGGTCCCACCGGGGAGAATGGACCCCCAGGGCCACTTGGAAAGCGAGTAAGTGAGGTGGACCCCTGAGACCTTGGGAGGCAGTCCCTGGGCTGTGTGGGTGGAGGCTGGGCAATGGCAGGTGGGATGGGTGGGGAGGTGCCTGGTGTCTGCATTGCCCTGGGTGTGTGTGTGTGCAGGAGCTGGTGGGTTTAAGGGTGTGTGGTATCTCATTGCCCGGGGCAGGGTGTGTGTGCAGGAGCTGGTGGGTTTAAGGGTATGCGGTATCTCATTGCACTGGGCGAGTGTGTGTGCAGGAGCTGGTGGGTTGATGGGTGTGCGGTATCTCGGGCATGTTTGTTCCTGGGTTCTGGTGTGTATGTTTTCACCAGGGGTAGTGGTCGTTACTGACAAAGCAGAATGGAAACTGGAGGAGGGGCTGGCCAGCTTTTCTGTGGGCCAGGGGTGAACCTTTTTAGTTTCTGGGGCAGGAGACGGGCCACCAGGTAGGGTGTGGGCAAGTGGCCCTTCACCAAATGTACAGACTACCCAGTATTTTCACAACTGTCACAGCTGTATCTGTTCTGCACATCTGTGAATCGGCCCTCGGCGCGTGTCCCTGTGTATGCACGTGTGTGTGTGCATGTGTATGTGTGTGTCTAGGACAGGAAGGGGGAAGAGTTGAGCCTGGCTGCCCACGGCCTCATGTGCTCTTCCTTCCCACTCCACCTGCAGGGTCCTGCTGGCTCGCCTGGTTCCGAGGGGCGACAAGGAGGGAAGGGAGCCAAGGTGAGGGACAGGCTGCCCTAGTGCTGGAGCATCCCCTCCGCCTCCCACCCCTCAGATGCCTCCGTCTCCAGATGCCCACCCCATCTCCACCTCTCCCATGTTGGGCCCTTATGGGGACAGGCGTTCCCTGTACTTGTTCCTGCGCTAGGGGCTCCTAGAGTTTGGCCCTTCCTCCCTGCCTCCCACCTCCCACCTTGGACCCTCTGCCCCCTGCCCACACCCCACTCCTCTGCCATTCAGGACACATTCCTTGTGTGTGTTTCAGGGAGATCCTGGCGCTATAGGTGCCCCGGGGAAGACAGGCCCGGTGGGTCCTGCAGGCCCAGCAGGGAAACCTGGCCCTGATGGTCTGAGGGGGCTCCCAGGCTCAGTGGTGAGTCACTGCAGGGAAGGGCTGGGCTGGGGTGGGAGTGAGGGGCCATGGGAGGGGTGCAGTGTGGGGATGCTCCTCCTGACCCCTGTGGCCCCCTCAAATCTTCAGGGTCAGCAAGGCCGACCTGGAGCTACAGGCCAGGCTGGGCCCCCAGGTCCTGTGGTGAGTGACTGGGATTGGGCTGAGTGAGGGGTGAGGGCAGTGCCCTGGGACAGAGCTGAAGCCCTGGAGGAAGTGGAGGCTGTTGGGGAGAACTTGGTCCCACCTCTCCCTTAAGAGAATGACTTCCCATCTCTCCACAGGGACCCCCAGGGCTGCCTGGTCTCCGGGGCGATGCTGGAGCCAAGGGAGAGAAGGTGAGTGACAGACAGACACGTGGCCAGGTGTCTCTCCCATCACCCTCGCCCCTGAAACCTGTGGGACCCAAGTGCCCACTGCTCTGCTTCAGGCCTCCGGCAGCCAGTCCCAGGGAGTCCCTGCTCAGTGAGGGCCACTCACGGACCCTGTGCCCGGCTCCCTCTCCATGTCCTCTTGGCCCTTCTCCCCCATCCACATGACTCCTCTTTGCATTCTCTTGACTGCCTGCACCCTTCTCTAGGGCCACCCAGGTCTCATTGGACTGATTGGGCCCCCGGGTGAGCAGGGAGAGAAGGGAGATCGGGGACTTCCTGGGCCTCAGGGCTCCCCTGGGCAGAAGGGTGAGATGGTGAGTAGAGGGCATGGTCCCGGAAGTTGTGGGGGTTGAGAGTGGGGTGGAGAGGGGTGGAGTTGGAGTTGGGACTCAGCTGTGGGTAAGCGAGCAGGTGCTCATGAGGGTGTGGGAGGAGGACCCAGTTGAACCAGCCACTACCCTTCCTAGGGTATCCCAGGAGCATCCGGCCCCATTGGTCCTGGAGGTCCCCCCGGCCTCCCCGTGAGTACTGCCTCTGTTCCTCCACAAAATCCCCTAAACCCCTCTGCTGCCCACCCACAGCCTCCCAACGACTTCCATGGAACTACCAGCCTAACAAGCATAGTCCTCAGGGTCCCCCATTTGTCCTGTCACCACCAGTACCTCCTCCCCATACTTCCAGGGCTCTGAATGTCCTAGTATTCCCACAGGACTGCCCCTCCTGTAGTAACCCGAGGCTCCTGTGGACTTGGGACCTTGCCTCCCCGCTCCTCTGAGTCCTGTCCTTCCCCTGCAGTGACCGTCTCTTTCTTGTTCCTCATTTCACAGGGACCTGCTGGCCCCAAAGGAGCCAAAGGAGCCACAGTGAGTGACCCCCTTCAGCTCTGACCTTTGCTCCACCCCCTCTGGACTTGATGATGTCTCTCCAGGACAAATAGACTCCCCCCAAGGAGCCCCTTATTCCAGCCAGGAGGCTGATTTGATCTTTCTGTGACCTTGATCCATGCTTGACCTCTTGACCCCTCCATGACCTGATTTATTCCTTGTCAGGGCCCAGGCGGACCCAAGGGAGAGAAGGGTGTGCAGGGCCCTCCAGGACACCCGGTGAGTGAGGAGTCAGGGCTGCTCCCAGGGCCGTACCCCTCTGCTCCACTGCTGCCACACTTCACCCTCACACCAACCTTGTCTCTTGCCCTCTCCATCTGTCCCTGCACCCAGGGTCCCCCAGGCGAGGTGATCCAGCCACTGCCCATTCAGATGCCCAAGAAGACTCGGCGCTCGGTGGATGGAAGCCGTCTGATGCAGGAAGATGAGGCCATACCGACCGGGGGAGCCCCCGGCAGTCCTGGGGGGCTGGAGGAGATCTTTGGCTCACTCGACTCCCTGCGGGAGGAGATCGAGCAGATGAGGCGGCCAACAGGGACCCAGGACAGCCCTGCTCGCACCTGCCAGGACCTGAAGCTGTGCCACCCAGAGCTTCCCGATGGTCAGTGCTAGCCTCAGGGTGCACAAACATCTCCCCAACAGCATGGGTACTGAACAAGCAGAATGGATGCTGGGGGAGTCTTGGTGAAGGTGTTGGGTTAAGGGTGAGGGCTGAGGGGCTGGGAACTGCAGCTATTTACTAACCAGGTCAGAAGTATCCCAATACTTTAGCAACTGATCTGGGTCAGTGTGTACCAGTTGGTTATCAGCCCAGTGTCTGCAGGAGCAGATAAACATACATACGTGCACACACCTGTTTGCACCTGAACAGATGAATCTGTGTGAGCGCCTGCAACCACATGTTGTCCCAGTATGAGGCTGTCCATACTCGGACCTCCTCCAGTCAGAGGGCCTGGGGTTACTGTTGGGGGCAGAGGTGTCACGTGATGAAAGTGAGCTGCAGCAGTAGGATGCTGCAGTAGAATCCAGCAGTAGGGCTAGATTCTAGGGCTCTGGGAGGGAGGAGGACCAGGAGACTAAGAGCATGATGGGGAGGGCTGGGAGGGAAGAGGGAATGTGGGGGCAAAGAGCATCTTGGAGCCTGGACCTAGGTGGCCCTGACCTCCCCTCTCCCTCACCCAACAGGAGAGTACTGGGTCGACCCCAACCAGGGCTGTGCTCGGGATGCCTTCCGAGTTTTCTGCAACTTCACAGCAGGGGGTGAGACCTGTGTGACGCCTAGGGATGACGTCACGCAGGTGAGAGCTGGCCCCTCGCTGCCCCTCCCCTGCCCCATAGTGCACCCCCTCAGGGCTTAGTGGTTTCTGGGTTTTGGTGACAGTCCCCTGGCTGTTGCCCCCCCCGGAGCCTGCCACCCCTTCTCCACTTCTTAGCTCTTTCTTCTTTTCCTTTTCACCGGTCCTCTGATGCTCACTTTGCCTTTCGTGTACCCCCAGTCTCCTGGCTCCCACTCAGCCCCTCACTTCTTTCCCAGCCCTTGCCTTCCAGCCATTCCCTGCTCATGACTCTGGCTCAGCTGTCCTGGTGCTGTAGATGCTCCTGAGGCCCGTCTCTGTCTCCCTCTGAGGCCAGCCCTCTCTCTCCCCCTCTGAGGCCAGCCCTCTCTCTCCTTCCAGTTCTCTTACGTGGACTCAGAGGGCTCCCCAGTGGGTGTGGTCCAGCTCACCTTCCTGCGGCTGCTCAGCGTCTCAGCCCACCAGGACGTCTCCTACCCCTGCTCTGGAGCAGCCCGTGACGGTCCCCTGAGACTCCGTGGGGCCAATGAGGATGAGCTGAGCCCGGAGACTAGCCCCTATGTCAAAGAATTCAGAGATGGCTGCCAGGTGGGAACAGGAAGAGCTGGGTTGGGGGCTGATCTCAGACTCAGGCTGGAGGAAGGAGGTGGGAAGACCCCTTGGGCAGGGCACCCAGGGGGAGCAGGGAGGAGTCCGTCCTGCTGGATTGTCAGGGATGCCTGAGGGAGCTCAAAAGCCGGTGAGGAAGGTGGAAAGGATGGAAGCCATCGGGTGAGGTTCACTTGGGTACAAACACCAGCGTCACACAGGTTAATGCAGACGTGTACACAGACTGGCACATGGCTGCCCAGCAGAGGCACACGGTGGGGGAGAAGCAAACACACACGCATGGGCACACAGACACTGCCAGTCTGTACATCCTGAGTCACCCTGATGGGGCCAAGGTGCTCAGAGGAGAGGTGAGCCTGGGCCTGAGGTTAGAGGGTGGGGGGTGCCTCCATCCTGCTCACACTTTCTTCCTTGTCTCCCCCTGAAGACACAGCAAGGCCGGACGGTGCTGGAGGTGCGAACGCCTGTGCTGGAGCAGCTGCCAGTGCTGGATGCCTCCTTCTCAGACCTGGGAGCCCCACCGAGGCGGGGAGGGGTGCTGCTGGGGCCTGTCTGCTTCATGGGATAGGACCGTCTCTGTCTGATCCTGTCCATTCGGAACCAGGCCCACCTGGAATCCCACAACATCAGCTCTGTGCCACCTCCCAAGAGGGCTCCTCACTATCTAGGGAGCCCTGGGCCAGGGCGTGGAGAGCCCTCAGTCGGGGCAGGCCAGGGGAGGGGTGAAGTGGTTGCCTGGACACCCCACGGGAGGAGTGGCATCTGGGGCTCTTGGCCCTCCCACCTGGAGCCTGTTACCCGTTAGAGAGCTGAGACCCTTATTTAAAACTCACCTCCCAATCACCCCAAACAAATGGAAGAGAAGAGAAAGGACATGGCGTATTTTGTATTTAAAAGTAATTGTATTAATTATTTAAAGTGTGGAAAGCAAAATAACAAAAAAGAGAAACGCCAACAAAAATCAGCAGATGTTGAAGACAGGGGTCTCGGGGGTGGGCTCCGGCACCCACATCCTGGAGTCAGGACTTTCCTCAGTGACTGTGTGTAGGGGGGTTTCAGGGCTGAACCCCACCTCCCTCCCACCTTCCTCCCACCTCACCTGTCGCACCCACTGTGAAAGTTGGAATATGTGGTCTCCCTGGCCTCAGGGCTCTGACTCTGCCAGGGTGGGGCTCTCTAACCCACAGGTGTTGGCTGCCTGGCCCATGTGCCCACTGTCTCTTCCACTTGGTCTGGGTTTGGCAGGCACTGCCTGCTACTTGAGGGCCAGGATGCTCCCCCAGGGAAGAAACGGAATAGTGTGGGGTGTGTGCAGGGCTGCATCCCGCAGATGGCTGGAATATTAAAATTCTTCTATATTGGCTGGTAAATTGCCATGGCCCTGAGCCACTGAGTATGTTCATTGCCACCCCTGTCCCTCCCCTGGGCACCCCTCACTTTCCCTGATCCTGCAATTAAAGGGTTAATGTGTGGCATATGGAAGGGACTCCCAGGACCCTGTGCCCAGCTTCCATGCTGACTGATGGTTAAATAATGTGATTGTCTCCTCCCAGGTGTCTGTGTCACTGCTTGTGTTGTTATTTCAGTCTCCCTCGACACCCATCTGATGCTTCCTCTTCCCAGCTAAGTGGTTACCAGAATTGTATGGCTTAATCCAGATACCCTGCAAGCCCTGTCCAGCTGGGGTGTCAGGGCCCAGAGTTTACAAAGCCTGGGTGACTAGCATAAAATTACAAACAATGCCCCAGGGACACCAGGTAGGGGTTTGGGGTCCCTATGGCTCCAGTTTCTGACACGGGTGTGCGATTGCTTCTCGGTGTGGGTGGGACGGTGCTACATAGCCCAGTCTAATCTCTGTAAATGGGGAGGCTGAGGCCCACTTCCAAGACATTTACTGCATCTGTACCTCTGGTCACCTTATCCCTCCCCATCAGCCTTGTGCTGTGCTGTCATGAAGACAGGGCTGTGGCCAAGCCCTCCACACTCACGTGTAGTCACGTGCATACTCGTTGAGTCTTTGTGTTGGGTGGAGTCGCACAGTCCCTGCCTGTGTCCCCCCACTCTTGACTGTCCCCCACTTCCCTAGCCTCCCTCTCCTGGGCACTCAGAAGCTCTGCTCCCTCCGGGTTAGGTGTCCAAGAAGTCCTCTCTTCCAAGGCTGGCCGCGCAGCCGGGACCCCCTAGCTGGTGCCCATGGGGCTTCACATTCCCAAGCAGTATTGCCTGGCTCCTGCCTGTCAGGGCGCTGCATTAAAACGTGTTCCAGGGCCTCATCCCAATTTCCTCTTCCTCAACCCTCTTCCTCGCGGGCGCCAGAATCAAGAGTGCGTGCCTTTGTGTCCCGGTTTCGCATCCGCGGCCTCGGGGCGGGCCTGGCAGGGCTGCCCTTCACCCCGAGCCCGAGCCCGGGTAGGCTGCGCCCCCGCCCCTCCTCCCCGTACTTCTTCCTCCCAGCGTGTCCCCGACAGCATCGGCTTGGCCGTCCCGGTCCCAACCCATTCTCGATCGCAGGAAGCCCCACGTGGGCGTCTAGACGGCCACTCTGGCCCGGGCGGGTGCGCGGAAAAACTTCTCGAGGGTGGAAGCCTCTCCTCGGCGCTGGCGCCTCCGCCTCTGCCGCCCCCTAGTGCCCGCGCTGAGAACGCGGCCCCGCACCGGGTCAGCTGAATAATCCCGGTCCCTCAGACGCCTCTCCCTTGTCACCCGCTGAACCCCCTGACCCCGAAGGCCGAATGGAGGAAGAAGCCCCTGATCTCATCTGTCAGGGGTCCGGTGGTGGATAGGTTTTCTGGGATCACCCATGCTCTCCATCTCAATATCCAAGGCCCAGGGGCTTCAGACACCCCCTTCCCTCCCTCTCAGGGTCACATTAAGAGAAGATCAGATCTAAATAGGTGCCCCCCATCTGTTTCTCCCGCACCCACTCCCAGCCTAGCCGGGCTGGAGTTGAGGTTTCTTTGGCGCTCTTTCTGCAGCTGGAGCCAAACCCGCAGAGGTCGCCCCCCGAACAGCAAGAGGACTTTCCCAAAGGTCACGTTTGGTCAGATGCTCTGAGTTCCGAGGGCTTTTCTGCATGGAAACAATGCTGTACAGTCACTCGAATAACATTTATATACGGCGGCTAAGTCCCCAGGCCAATCCACAAAAGCCTATTTAATTACACAGTGCTGCCAACCAACCCCATCTAACAGTTTCACGAGGGAGTCTGTGCCAAGTTGCTGTTGAGGAGGCCAGGCCCACAGCCTTCTCTTGGCAGCTAACTTCTTCCTCCCCTCCAGAAAGCTAGAGCCAGGCTCTAAGGAAGGGTGGGAGGGGTTTAAGGGCAGGGCTGTAGAGGCGGGGTTTTGGGGTGGGGCTGGGTGTGAACAGGGCAAGTGCCCAGGCCTCTGGGCCTGTGGGTAGTGGCAGTGTCTCCATTGGCTGGTGGGCAATGGAGGCTTCTGGGTGGGGTGGGAGGAGATAGGGAAGAGAAAGGCAGAGGCTTTAGGGAACTACTTTGGGTTTGATTGGGGCAGAACATAAACTCTTGTTGGAGGGGCCAAATTCTGAAAAGTATTGACTGATTATGGAAGGAGTTGAACTTGAACCCAAAAACTAAGAGTCATAGATGGTGTTTGAAAAGGCAAGGGATATGATGGAATTGTGCGCTGGCATGGTGGCGAAGGAGAGGAGGGTTTGGGATGGGGCGCACAGGGAGATCATGTTTTTTTTTGTTTTTTGAGACAGAGTCTCGCTCTGTCACCCAGGCTGGAGTACAGTGGCGCCATCTCGGCTCACTGCAGCCCCTGCCTCCCAGGTTCAAGCAATTCTCCTGCCTCAGCCTCCCGGATAGCTGGGACTACAGGTGTGCACTGCCACGCCTGGCTAATTTTTGTATTTTTAATAGAGACGGGGTTTCCTCACGTTGGCCAGTATGGTCTTGATCTCTTGACCTCATGATCCTCCCGCCTCGGTCTCCCAACTGCTGGGGTTACAGGCGTGAGCCACCGCGTGGGAGATCATGTATAGAGGGAGGGCTGTGGGGTGGGTCCTCTGTCCTGTCACACCCTTGGAGCTGCTTTTCAGCTTTGGGCTTATATTTTTAGCATCTGTAACTTATGGTTAAAAAATAACTTGTGAAATAAAATAAAAATAACTTACAGACCACTTATATCACTGTACCTGGGAGCACCACATATCCTAGAAGGCCATGGGCTACACAGAGCTGTTCTTGCCCTCCCTTGGCTGTCTTGCATGCTGAGGTTTGTAGTTTTGAATGGACCAGGGCAGGTGGGGGTGGAGATGAGACAGAGGAGGGAGTGAGTCAAAACAAGGCTCTCAGCCTGGGCAACAAAGCAAAACTCCTTCTCTCTCTCTCTTTCTCTCTTTCTTTGAGACAGGGTCTCTGTCACTCAGGCTGGAGTGGAGTGGCAAGATCATGGTTCACTGCAGCCTCGACCTCCGTGGGTTCCAGCCATCCTCCCACCTCAGCCTCCCGAGTAGCTGGGTCTCCAGGCATGTACCACTAGTTTTTGTATTTTTTGTAGAGATGGGATTTTGCCCTGTTTCCCAGGCTGGTCTAGAACTCCTGGGCTCAAGAGATCTGCCCATCTCGGCCTCCCAAAGTGCTGAGATTACAGGTATGAGCCATCACGCACGGCCCTTTTTCTCTACAAAAAAAAATTTAAAAATTAGCTGGGCATGGTGGCATGTGCCTGTAGTTGCAGCTACTCAGGAGACTCAGGCAGGAGGATCACTTGAGCCCAGGAGTTTGAGGTTGCAGTGAGCTATGCTCTTGCCACTGCACTCCAGCCTGGGTGACAGAGAGATACCCCATCACAAACAGACAAACAAACAAACAAAGGGCTCCAGCTGCCTCAGAAATAAGTTTCTGTGTAGTAGCTTGTGGCCACCTTGTTTTGTGGTTGTTTAGCCCATTTTCCTGCAAGTGTGGTGTGGTCAGCAGGGAGCATCAGGGCCACACTGGAGCTTCTTTCTGTCGAGCTGTGCAGTTCACAGACTGTACATGTGTAGGCCATAGCTATGTTTCTCAACTCAAACCTAGAGTAAGCAGAAGTCACCTTAAGTGCTTATAACTGGCCTTCTGTTATCTTTTCTTTCATCTTCAGAGTAGTTTCATGGGAACTGGCACTGACAGCAGACTGCCATCTCAGTAGGGAAGACCTGTCCTGCTAGTCCTTGAATAAAGACCAAGGATATCTACATGGGCTTCTCCTTTAGGGCTTTCCCCACACGGCCAGGATGGTAGAATGAACACAGCTCTCAGCTTCAGCGAGAGCCAGCATATCACCCTGTCTGGCTTTCCCTCAGTTGGCAGGAGCAGGTCAATCCATTTTGTGTACTTCGCTCTGGCCTCTCTTTTTTTGTTTGTTTTTTGTTTTTGAGATAGGGTCTCACTCCCCTTGCCTAGGCTAGCATGCAGTGGTGCAATCATGGCTCACTATAGGCTTGACTTCTTATGCTCAGGTGATTCTTCCCCCTCAGCCTCCTGAGTAGCTGGGACTACAGGCGAGTGCCACCATGCCCAGCTAATTTTTTGTATTTTTAGTAGAGACGTGGTTTCTCCATGTTGCCGAGGCTGGTCTCAAACTCCTGGGCTCAAGAGATCCCCCTGCCTCAGCCTCCTAAAGTGCTGGGATTATCTGGCCTCTCTTTTTTTTTTTTTTGAGATGGAGTCTCGCTGTGTCGCCCAGGCTGGAGTGCAGTGGCACAATCTCGGCTCACTGCAACCTCCGCCTCCCGGGTTCAAGCGATTCTCCTGCCTCAGATTCCTGAGAAGCTGGGACTACAGGTGCCCGCCACCACGCCTGGCTAATTTTTTTTATTTTTAGTAGAGACGGGGTTTCACCGTGTTAGCCAGGATGGTTTCGATCTCCTGACCTCGTGATCCACCCGCCTCGGCCTCCCAAAGTGCTGGGATTACAGGCGTAAGCCACCGCGCCTGGCCTATCTGGCCTCTCTTTCTATTAAAAACGCCTTACTCTAGGTTGAAGGACTTTTGGTTCCTGAGGCATGGATGATTTCCCAAAGTACAACAGATAAAAGCCACACTGGCTGTACAGCAGCTCATGTAAAGGTCATGTTCCAGGTCTTGGCCACTTCACCTATAACAGGCTTGGACTCCGGCAGAGCCTCAGGCCAAAGAATGTGGGTCATAGAGATATCTTCCTCATTGTGTTCACATCTCCCCCGGGCCTGGGCTATATTGTTGGGTCAGGTAATCGGCCTGCTCTCCTCATGAAATAAGGCATACCGGTATTACTAATGCTGGGAGAGATTTCTTATAATTCCATCCCTTTCCAGTTGTGGTTATTTGTATTAATACCTGCAGGTTTTCCTTACTTTTAGAACTGCAAATCTATAGAAACAAACAAACCCCAAACCCAACAAACATGTTTCAGAGACATTAGGGTTAGGGAGAAGATGAGAAATAGCACCCTGTTTGATTGGGGCCCTGGGGAGAGAGGGACTCAGACAAAAGAGTTTGAGTGGCAGGTGGTCTAGTTTTGGGTGGGTTGAGCAGACTTAGGGCCAAAGGTAGTACCGATTCTAGCTGGCAGCAGGCCTCTCTGTATTTCCAACTGAGACTTCTCCTTCCCTTAGCTTGTCAGGGATGCTTTGCTTCTGAGTTGCACACTTAACCTCAGCATCAGTTTCTTCACCTGCAAAGTGGGATAATACTTGCTCTGTAAAGGAATAATTCCCCCTTTAGTGACAGCCTTTGCCATGGAAAGTGAGGGGAGGGACCTGACAAGCTGTCTTGGTTCCATCTCCATGTCTTGGTTATTGCTGACACGCGGGTGTCTGGGGCATGCTGCTGTCCCTTTTCCACTTTTGATTTTAGTGCTGTTAAAACTCTATACTTACTATTATTATTTTCTTGTTACAAATCGCAAAATCTGATTCAGAATAGCTTAAGCTCCAAAAGGAATTGATTGTAAAAATATTGGGTTTCTCAGGATTTGAAGACAGAGTTGACTCAATAGGGAAGACTGAGAGCAGTTCTGGGAACCTCAGGGGCTCATGGACTTTGTCCCTGGAGTGTGGATACCCACCGCTCAGCAGAGCTGCTCTTGACCTCTGTGTCTCTGGGCTCCATGGTTCAGAGTCATGGAGAGACAATCTGATTGGCTTAGCTTGGGTTATCTCTGTCCCTGAGAACCAATTTTCTGTGGCTGAGGGCCCAGTGTACCAACCAAGAGGTATGTAGGATGCCTTTTGGTGGAGGTGGAGGGGTGTTGGGGGCACTGTTTCCAGATAATGTGGGATCCTGAGGCCCCCAGGAGGTGTCCGCTTGCTTTCCCTTCTTCGCTTCTGTCTAAACAGACTCCTTTGTATGCATTTGACCAGCGTGATACAACCAGCACCTTCATGATCACATTTGCTCTCCCTGCCACCCAATCTCCTGGATGGGCAACCCAAAGTCACATTCAGCAGCTGTGGCCATGACCTCTCTAACCTCAGAGGCCGACATCTCTGCCAGTTCATATTTTGCCACTTTGTGATTCAGCACATAAACTTTCATGGCCGTTATATCCAGGGCTGCATTGTGACTTCTGCGGGCCCTATGCACTTTTCTAAACAATAAATTTGAAATCATACTTATGATTGTGTTGATACACAGGCAAGTATATTAATATTATATATTAAAATATTTTCTTCAACCTTAATTTTTTTTCTATTTTAAAAGAAATGTAAACATTGCCATGGGAGTATTGTGGGCCCTAGGCACTGTGGCTACTGTACATAATGGATCCATGGGCCCTCCTTGTGTCTTTGTTAAAGATTTTACTGGTTTACTCTTAAAATGTAATCACAATTCTGTTACCACAATTTTAATAATCATTCCTGTTGTCATCAAATATCCAGTCAGTGTTCAGATTTCCAAGATTGTTTTGTAGGTTTTGTGTGTGTGTGTGTGTGTGTGTGTGCGTGTGTGTGTGTGTGTGTTTGACTCATGATCCAAATAAAGTTGATGGTCTTCTAATTATTTAAAGATCTACATTTTCCGTAATTTATTTAAAGTCCTTTTTGTTTACTTTTATTATGGACAAATTTAAGCATATACAAAAGTGGTTTATTATTGCTTTTTTTTTTTTGAGATGGTCTCGCTCTGTCGCCCAGGCTGGAGCACAGTGGCACGATCTCAACTCACTGCAGCAACATCCGCTTCCCAGGCTCAAGCGATGCTCCAGCCTCAGCCTCCCAAGTAGCTGGGACTACAGGCGCCAGCCACCATGCCCGGCTAATTTTTGTATTTTTTGTAGAGACAGGGTTTTGCCATCTTGTCCAGGCTGGTCTCCAACTCCTGAGCTCAAGCAATCTGCTCATCTTGGCCTCCCAAAGTGTTGGAATTACAGGCGTGACCCACTGAGCCTTGCCTGTTATTGCTATCTTAAAAAGAATTAATACATGTTAAAAATCTTTTTCAGTTCTAATTTTGAATACAGTAAATATCAATAACAATATCGTAAGTAAAGCTTTTCAGTGTTTTCAGTAATTTAAGGGATTTATACTCTTAAAACATTGAGAGATTTTTTTCAAATTGAGATTTAAAAAAATTGGGAATCACTAATCTAGAAGAACTGTTAAAAATAGTCATGCCCACCTGTGCTCACCCTTAGAGATCTGGATTCAACCCATTTGGGGCGTGAGCAAAGGGACTTGTGTAAAATTTCCCCAGGCAATTCCAAAGTGCAGGCTGTGTTGAGAACCTCTGCTCTAAACTGGAGAGATCCCGTAAGAAATAAGCAGCCAGGCGCAGTGGCTCATGCCTGTAATCCCAGCACTTTGGGAGACCAAGGCAGGTGGATCACTTGAGGTCAGGAGTTCGAGATCAGCCTGTTCAACATGGTGTAACCTTGTCTCTACTAAAAATACAAAAAATTCGCCAGGTGTGGTGGCACGTGTCTGTAATCCCAGCTACTGGGGAGGCTGAGGCAGGAGAATCACTTGAACCAGGGAAGCAGAGGTTGCAGTGAACCGAGATCATGCCACTGCACTCCAGTCTGGTAGACAGAATGAGACCCTGTCTCAAAAAAAAAAAAAAAAAAAAAAAAAAAAAGAAAAAAAAGGAAATAAGCAAAGATGGCCGGGTGTGGTGCCTCACACCTGTAATACCAGCACTTTGAGAGGCTGAGGCGGGCGGATCACCTGAGGTTAGGAGTTCGAGACCAGCCTGACCAACATGGAGAAGCCCCATCTCTACTAAAAATACAAAATTAGTCGGGCATGGTGGCACATGCCTGTAATCCCAGCTACTTAGGAGGCTGAGGCAGGAGAATCGCTTGAACTTGGGAGGCAGAGGTTGCGGTGAGCCAAGATCACGGCATTGCACTCCAGCCTGGGCAACAAGAGTGAAACTCTGTCAAAAAAAAAAAAAAAAAAAAAAAAAAAAAAAAAGAAATAAGCAAAGGCACAGAGTGGGAAAGGCAACCAAATGCCCTAGGTCTGAAAGGGCCTCCTGGGACCTGCTGCATCCAGCAGAAATGCTTGCAAGTGCAGGCCCAGACAACCCAAAAAACAGGGGCTAAAATAAACAGGAATTCATTTTTCTCATAAGAAATCTGAGGATGACAGCTTCCAGCATTGGTTTGAGCATTTAATGATGCCATCAGGGTTCCAGACTCTTCATATGTTTACACTCCACCCTCCTACAATGTTACCCTTACATATTTTCTTTGGCTAAACTATAAGCACGTTTTTCATAATAGCTGTTCCATTTACATCACTGTCAAACATGACATTCACCAATAAAGAAAAGACGCATGAGACGTGTTCGGCACCCCTTAGCTGTAGAAATGCCTGCCACCACTTTGCTGTCATGAAAGAGCCATTTTATGGCTATTGCAAATGCTTTGAAGATACTAAGACTTGTACCTGGAAGCTATAGATGCAGTGTGGGAAACTGGGAAGTATAATTGCCACTGAATTGTTATTGATTTATTACTGCAAATAAATCTATGCAGGTCCCTTCTGAAATTGAGATGGTCCTGAACTGAACAAATGTCTTATTGACATTCATAACAGTGGCTGGTATTCCTTCTTTATCCTGTTTGTCAGTTTTTGGAATTCACTGATTAGATAAATAAAAAGAATCTCACTTGCTCCTTACTAATGAGCTCCACGGAGGGGCATGATGTTGGAAAAGGCACCATGCAAGGCATGATTACTAAGAAGACAAAGGGCTTGTCGGGGAGCTGTTAGGGAGGGTCCTGAGCCAGGGCTTGGGAAAAACATCTCATCATTTTACTGTATCTGATGCTTGGAAGTGACATGTGCTTTGCAAACTCCAGTTTATGTTTTGATGACTTTGTGCTTGTTCTGCTTGGTTAGGATTAGCTTCAGCTGTGAGAAACAGAAAACCCTGAAAACAACAGTGTCTCCACCAAGATAGAAGTTCATTTCTCTCTCACATGCAACCCTAGGGCTGGTGTAGTGTTTAAGTGTCAGAGACTCAGGTTCCTTCTATCTATCTTTTTCTTCCACCAGCCTCAACATAGCTCTTCTCTCTCAGGTCCAATATGACTGCTTGAATTCCAGCTTTCATGTTTGTGTTCCAGTCAGCTGAAGGAGAAAGGGGAAATAAGGACAACCCCTCTTTTTTTTCGTTTTTTCTTTTTTTTTTTTTTTTGAGAGGTAGTCTTGCTCTGTCACCCAGGCTGGAGTGCAGTAGTGGATCTCAGCTCACTGCAACCTCCGCTCCCCAGGTTCTAGCGATTCTCCTGCCTCAGCCTCCTGAGTAGCTGGGATTACAGGCATGTGCCACCATGCCTGGCTAATTTTTGTATTTTTAGTAGAGATGGAGTTTCACCACGTTGGTCAGGCTGGTCTCAAACTCCTGACCTCAAGTGATCCACCCGCCTTGGCCAATACCTTTAGGCAAAGCATTATAGCAGGAGTCTAAAAACAAATGGGCTGTTTTGTTTTGCTCGGAAATCTCTCCCCGAGGGATTGTTTTGTTTTTTGAAGTATTTGAAGGCTAAGTATCTAGAGCTTGTGCTCATGGAGTAGCTGCCCCCTTTCCTCGTGAGGCCACCATTAGTTACCTCTGCATATATGTCTGCCTCTGAGGTGTCTGGCTGTCTGAGGAGGCCTCTGGCTTTGTTAGTACACCACTAGGATATTTGCAACGTGGATCAAGACTTTTTAATTTAATTTAATTTTATTTTATTTTTTTGAGATGGAGTCTTTCTCTGTCGCCCAGGTTGGAGTGCAGTGGCACAATCTCAGCTCACTGCAACCTCTGCCTCCCAGGTTCAAGCCATTCTTCTGCCTCAGCCTCCCAAGTAGCTAGGATTACAGGTGCCTGCCACCATGCCTGTTGTGGGAAGTCAGGGACCCCAAATGGAGGGACCAGCTGGAGCCGAGGCAGAGGAACATAAATTATGAAGATTTCATTTTAATATGGACATTTATCACTTCCCTAATAATGCTCTTATAATTTCTTACGCCTGTCTTTACTTCAATCTCTGAACATAAATTGTGAAGATTTCATGGACATTTATCAGTTCCCAAGTAATACTCTTATAATTTCTTATGCCTGTCTTACTTTAATCTCTTAATCCTGTTATCTTCACAAGCTGAGGATGTACGTCACCTCAGGGCCACTATTGTACAAATTGACTGTAAAACATGTGTGTTTGAACAATATGAAATCAGTGCACCTTGAAAATGAACAGAATAACAGCGATTTTAGGGAACAAGGAAAGACAACCATAAGGTCTGACTGCCTGTGGGGTTGGGCTAAAAGAGCCATATTTTTCTTCTTGCAGAGAGCCTATAAACAGACGTGCAAGTAGGAGAGATATCGCTAAATTCTTTTCCTAGCAAGGAATATTGATAATTAATACTCTGGGAGAATAATTGCATTCCTGGGGGGGAGGTCTATAAACAGCCGCTCTGGGAGTGTCTGTCTTATGCGGTTGAGATAAGGACTGAAATACGCCCTGGTCTCCTGCAGTACCCTCAGGCTCACTAGGGTGGGGAAAAACCCCACCCTGGTGAATTTGAGGTCAGACCGGTTCTCTGCTCTCGAACCCTGTTTTCTATTGTTTAAGATGTTTATCAAGACAATATGTGCACAGCTGAACATAGACCCTCATCAGTAATTCTAATTTTGCCCTTTGCCTTGTGATCTTTGCTTTGCCTTTTGCCTTGTGATCTTTATTGCCCTTTGAAGCATGTGATCTTTGTGACCTACTCCCTGTTTGTACACCCCCTCCCCTTTTGAAGTCCTTAATAAAAAGCTGCTGGTTTTGTGGCTCAGGTGGACATCATGGACCTACTGATATGTGATGTCACTCCTGGCGGCCCAGCTGTAAAATTCCTCTCTTTGTACTCTTTCTCTTTATTTCTCAGACTGGCCGACACTTAGGGAAAATAGAAAGAACCTGCATTGAAATATTGGGGGTGGGTTCCCCAGATACATGCCCAGCTAATTTTTTTGTGTTTTTAGTAGAGACAGGGTTTTGCCACGTTGGCCAGGCTGGTCTCGAATTCCTGACCTCAGGTGATCCACCCGCCTCAGCATCCCAAAATGCTGGGATTACAGGCATTAGCCACTGCACCTGGCCATCTCAAGATGGTTTTAATGGTTAGAAATATCAGCCAATTGAATTTTCAGAGACATATGCCACCTAATTTTGTATTCAATACTTAAGTCATTAAACTCCAGTGGTCTATATACCTGTTTGGCCTCTAAGACAGTTTGGCCTCTAAGTCTGTGAGCACTTTCTGTGATGATGGAAATGTTCTACATTTATGCAATTTAATGTGGTGGCCACTATTCACATGTGGCTATTGAGCACTTGAAACATGGCTAGTGCACTAAGAAACTCAATTTGAAATTCAATTTTAATTTTATTTAATTTAAATGGCCACAGGTAGCTAGCTAGTGCTACCATATTAGACAGCACAGCTCTGAGGCTCTTTTAAGGACCCACATAATTCAATGAAGAGACCCAAGTTTAATACAGATGTGGGATATGCAGTCTTCATAATTCAAACACGCCAATTAATTTCTGTTCCTCTTTTTCAAGTTGGGGGCTTTCAAGCACAAAGGCTTTTACCTGGTCTTGGGCAGAATTTTTCTCCCCAAAATTTTACCAAAATTTGTGCTCTTTTATACTCTGTTCCTTTTAACTCATAAAATTAATAATGGAAGACAGAGGTTTTTGATGCAGTTGCTTTAAAAAAAACCAGGTTCAGGCCAGGCACAGTGGCTCACACTTGTAATCCCAGCACTTTGGGAGGCTGAGGTGGGCGGATCTTCTGAGGTCAGGAGTTTGAGACCAGCCTGGCCAGCATGGTGAAACCCCGTCTCTACTAAAAATACAAAAATTAGCTGGATATGGTGGTGCGCATCTATAATCCCAGCTACTTGGGGCTAAGGCAGGAGAATTGCTTGAACCTGGGAGGGGGAGGTTGCAGTGAGCTAAGATTGCGCCACTGCACTCCAGCCTGGGTAACAGAGTGAGACTCCATCTCAAAAATAAATAAATAAATAAATAAATAAATAAATAAATAAATAAATAAAATCAGGTTTACTGAGATATAATTTAAATACAGTGAAACCATAGCTGTACAGTTGTTTATGAGTTTGACAAACATATTCATTGTGTAACTACTACTACAATGAAGATAATATTTCTATTACCCCAAAAAGTTTCCTCATGGACCCAGCTTTTTTCAAGTCACTCCTGGTTAATGTGTCATTAGGATAATAAAACAATGTTAATTCTTGAATTGGATTTAGGCTGTTTAAATTTTGCTCAATGGATTGTACCTCGGAGGTGGGAGAATTTACTCTGGCAACTTAGTAAAGGTTGGGGCTGCCAAGTGAAGGCAGACTGTTGGTGAATATAATTTATTGGGATTGAAAAGGATACATCAGCCAGATTGATGCATGAATGCTAATCAAGGGTTGATTTAGCAAGATCTTCTACTAAGGAAATAATATCATGTACAGTGCTAATCACATTTTTTTCATAATTGAGTTAAATATTTAAAGTGATTAGAATAGTCACTGCCACTTAATACTACTTCAGAATTAGCTGCTTTTCTTAATATCGGTGTAATTCACAATTCACTTCCAAGCTCCACCTACCTTTTGACTGGCCAAAATGAGTTGTTAAAGAGTCCTACTCTTTATCTCAGATTTCTCCAACAATGTTATCATAATTGTTATTTTACATATTCTCCTAGGGATTTGTCACTATTTCATATTACGTTGTTTTGTGGGGAAGTGGAATTCTAGAGGTTCTTAAGAGCTTTTCCAGCTCCCACAGTTGCAATCGTAAGTTCAGATAACATGCCCAGGGGCAGGAGAAATCACCATAGAAGCTTTCTTGGTTCTCTGTATCTCCCATTAATGTTTCATAACCTTCCACCTTCATACTTTCCCCTCCACATACCCTGGTATTCAAAATAGCCCTTCTTATTAGATTGGGTTTTCCTAATTAAAAGTTGCCATTGATGTTATATCCCAAAGTTTCTGGAATTCCTAAACATTGTCCTTTGTCTAAACTGTTTTAACGTGAGTGCAGAGTGTCTCCAGACACAGGTTGGAACAGATCTGGAGGGAAGAACATTGGGGCTGTTTGTCCCATCGTATGAGAGGATCTGGTTTTAGGGCAAAGCTCTTTAAGCTTGGAGAATGAATCGAAGGTGTGGAAGTGCCCTGTTTCTGTATGTTCTAAGAGAAATGAGCTCTTAACGTTTATAAGCTTTTTGTCTTGGCATTCCCCTTCGGTTTGGTCCCTAGCACTGTTAAATTACATGAATTGAGGGTTTGCCAAAACTACTGCTAAATTTGCAGCTTCTGTATCTGCTAAAATTGGACTATTTTTGATACTTCCTTTAACCTGTTTTGTAACCTTGTTAATTTTCTAATGAGCCCATTGTGCTGTTGGGATTCCGATATCCCCAAATCTAATGAGCCATGACCATACACTTTAGCTCCATTCCCACTGGGTTCTCAAATTCTTTTTCATTTTTCCAATTCTTTAGCACTTTCTCTTATAGGCGGTTCTGCCTTAATTTGAAATTAAATGAAAACTTCAGCCCCTTCGTCTCACCAGCTGCTAGCATTTTAAGTGCTCAAGAGCCACCTGTGGCTAGTGGCGGCTCGGTTGGATAGATACAGAACATTTCCCTAACAGCAGAACATTGTATAGGACAGCACTGCTCAAGGGATTGCCCTCCGATGATCACACCCACTTTACAGATACTAGGACTGTCTAACTATGTACACTTTCTTTCTTGCAAATACGATGTCGAAGGCTTTCCCTCAGTTTGTAACTTTTAACAAATATTTTAGAATCTTTATTGATCAATCATACATCTGTGCAACAAAAATATATGTATTCATTTAATTCTTTGTTTAATTGACAAAAATTGAATCTGTTTATGGTATACAATATGATGTTTATATATATATATATATATATATACACACACACACACATTGTTTAATGGCTAAATCAAGCTAATTAATATGTGCATTACCTTACATATTTTTTGTGTTGGGTGAGAACACTTAAAATTATTCACTTAGCAATATTCAAGTACACAGTACATTGTTATTAACTAGAGTCACCATGTTGTACAGTACATATCTTGAATTTATTCCTCCTGTCTAACTGAAATTTTGTATTCGCTGATGTTAGTTTTTACAATCAACTCATTAAAAACATAATTAGGTCACAGAGGTTAGGAGGTTTTGAAAAAAACAAAAAACCAAACAAAAAATGTAATTAGGTTTGTTTGGCAATCTAGCAATGCTTAGTGTGCAATGCTTTTTACAGCCGCTGCTAAAAGCATAGCAAAACCACAGAAATCTATGTGCTGCCAAAACCTATGTATTTGGTCGTATTTATTTTGACTTGTGTTTTTTGTGTGCTTAACTTTTTCTCTAACTTTTTTTTGTAAAGAATGCTGGAGTATTCCCAAATTGTTGACAAATTCCCTTGTTTCCTGTTCTAAGCCCAGATTTCAGTGTTGGCCACTAGGTGGGGATAGGATCCTATTTCTCTATAGCCTTAACATGATTTTGAATTTCGATGCTTTGCAATGGATAATCTGGCTTTTTCCTCGAAAGCTTTAAAACATTTCTTTTGTGAATTCAAAACAACCCACAGTTTTAATTCTCTGTAGTTATCCAATAAAAAGGAATAGGAAACAAGTGCTAAATTATTTACTTACAGTGTTTCTGTATGGAAATCCTTACCCCCAAGACAGCTGGCTTCACGGCTTGACTCAATGGTGAGAAATCTGAGTTGACTCACAGCTTTCTGACAGTATTCTGATGGTACCATGTTAGGATAAATTCTTGGCCAAACAGAAAATCAAGGGAGACCTGCTTCTCCTTGTCAAACTCTAAATTAATCTACTAGTTCTTTTCATAAAGCAAAAGGTGAAATGTTGAGGACTCTGAGTCGGCGATCAATCGAAATGACTTTTAAACTAAGTCCCTTTTAATGATGACTGAAGACAATATTACATTAATCACTGGGTATTATAAACACTGGTTTCTCAGTCCTCTGCTGATGAGATTTGCTTGTTTGTGTATTTCTTTCTTAAAATCCCAAATAGTGAAGTCTCTCTTAAGCAATGGAGGCTTATTCATAGTCAAATTCCTTGCATGTAAAATTCTCTGGGTATAAAGTAGATTGCCTCCCTCTTGTTTTTCTTTTTCTTGAGACAGGGTCTCACTCTGTTGTCTAGGCTGGAGTGCAGTGGCATTATCACGGCTCACTGAAGCCTTTACCTCCCAGGCTCAAGTGTTCCTCCTGCCTCAGCTTCCTCAGTACCTGGGACTACATTTATTTTTTGTTTTTTTTTATTTTTTTGTAGAGACAGGATTTTGCCATGTTGCCCATGCTGGTCAAGCTATCTGCCCTCCTTGGCCTCCCAAAGTGCTGCGATTATAGGCATGAGCCACCAGGCCCAGCCTGCTTTCTTCTGTTTTACCAAGATGCTTGACAGTGGATATATAAAATGACAACTTCCCTTTCTCATATGTGGCACTGAGAGATGGGCAGCCTCTATTTCCTACAAGAAATATAGAATAGAAAATGTGTAATTTCTCATGGTGTTCTGCAAAAATTAAAAATTTCACAGAACACTCATCTGAATCCCTGGTTTGTAACTTTGGCTTTCCAAAACTTGCCTATATGCTAATATGATTCATAAAACATTTGTAATAATAATTTCAAAATAAAAATTTTAAAATGAATTTAGTCCTATATCTTCTATAATAACCAACATTTCCAGAAAAGTAGGATTTAAGAGTATCTTCTGTACCAATATATGACTTTCTTTTTCTTTTTTTTTGGAGACAGAGTCTCACTCTGTTGCCCAGGCTGGAGTGCAGTGGTGTGATTTCAGCTCACTGCACCATTCAGTCGGCTGAAGGCCTGGCTAGAACAAAAAGGCAGAAAAAAGGTGAATTCACTCTCTCTCTGTTTTGGAGTAGGGAGTCCTATATTCTCCTCCCCTTGGACATCAGATCTCCAGGTTCTCTGGCCTTCACACTCAGGGACTTGCACCAGCAGCCCCCCAGGTTTTTGGTCTTGGACTCAGAGTTACTCCACCAGCTCCCCCGGTTCTCAGCCCTTCAGACTTGGACTGAGCCATGCTACAGGCTCCCCTGTCTCAGCAGCTTGCAGAAGGCCTAACGTGGAACTCCTCAGCCTCCATAGTTGAGGGAGTGAATCCCCAGCATAAATCCCCACTCATCTATCTACCTATATATATCCAATAAATTCTGTTTCTCTGAAGAAGTCTGACTTCTTCAGCCCCCAAAGGCCCCCAAAGGCCCCCAAAGCCCCCAAAGGCCCTAGTGCTGGTCTGTTACGAACTTCCTGGTAGACGATATTTTACACATGGCATCCCAGCTCCTTGTGGGAGGAATTAAGTGTGTCCTGTGTGGCTCCAGGGGGACAGGATCCTTGGAAGCCTGAGCCTGGTTTCTCTCAGGCTTTGCCCCGTGTGCCTTTCCCTCTGCTGAGTTTGCTTTGCATCCTTTTACTGTAATGAATCAGAGCCCTGAGTAGGACCATATGATGAGCCCTGTGAGTCCTCCTAGGGCATCATCTCACCTGGGGTGGCTCTGAGGACCCCTAACATAGCTCTTCCTCTGGCATTGGTATCTGGTAATATATAAAATCCCCCAAAACTAACTTGTCATCATAATTTATGACCATATTTCATCAAAATTTCATGTAGTCACATCCAAGAAGTTCAGTTAAGAAAGAAAAACTCTTTAAGCTTGGTTAAGGCTCTGCCATTTTTGAAAATTCGTATTAATCTAATAATATTGTAGCAACTATAAGTTTTCCTGATAACTTTTTTTTTTTTTTGGGAGTGGGGGATGGAGTTTCGCTCTTGTTGCCCAGGCTGGACTGCAATGGTGTGGTCTCAGCTCACTGCAACCTCCGCCTCCTGGGTTCAAGCGATTCTCCTGCCTCAGCCTCCCAAGTAGTTGGGATTACAGGCGCGCACCACCACACCCAGCTAATTTTTGTATTTTTAGTAGAGACAGGATTTCACCATATTGGTCAGGCTGGTCTTGAACTCCCGACCTCAGGTGATCTGCCTGCCTTGGCCTCCCAAAGTGCTGGGATTACAGGCGTGAGCCACTGTGCCCAGCCTCCTGATTACTATTATATAAAATTTGGACTTAGTGGCACATCATAACATGAAATGACTGGAGACAATATGACTTCTCTCTCGGTATTAAACATCAATTAAGATGAATTACAAAAATCATAGTAAACTGTATTCTAAAACCAAGCCTATGTCTGAAAAATCTGGTATACACACATCTTTTGAAACTAAGGATGTGTTTTCACTGTACAACCTGCAAGAGGTGATCTGGTGAACATAGAGTTATGGAATAAGTGTGTATCTATAACTTAGTACAAATTATATATAAAGAGAACGATAATGTATTATGCGGCTGGGCATGGTGGCTCACTTCTGCAATCCCAGCATTTTGGGAGGCTGAGGTGGGTGGATTACTTGAGCTCAGGAGTCCAAGACCAGCCTGGCCAACATGGTAAAACCTCATCTCTACCAAAAACAAAAAATTAGCTCTCAGGTACTCTAGAGACTGAGATGGGAGGATCGCCTGAACCCTGGAGGCAGAGGTTGTAGTAAGCTGAGATCATGCCATTGCATTTCAGCCTGGGTGATAGAGTGAGACTCCATCTCTAAATAAATAAAATAAAATAATATATTATGCTATTATACCTATTATTTAAAATTGGGATCTTATGTTGATTTCTACATTTGGGAAGCATATTCCTAAGAACTGACCTTTATCAGTCCTGTATTGTGTTCAGTGGCAAAGCCAGGCTTGGTGTCTGTTCCATCTGGGAACGCCAGGAGTAATGGTCCCACTCCTTGCTGCTGAGGGTACAGCATGAATTTGGGCAGCACCATGAAATAAAGCAAATGTAAGAAGATCCTCTATCAGTTGCACTCCTATTTAATAAGAAGACTTGATCATCATCAAGAAGTTAATTTCTCCATGCCTGGGTAAAACCACACTGACTCATCCTGAGGCTCTTCATTGGACCCAGTGATCACCAAATCCTTCAAGCATAAAATGGCCATGTGATTATCTCCTTCCTCTCAGGATGAAAGGCAGACAATAACATGTGATTTATGTTCCTCAGGAAAGGACATGCTATAAACTAGAGAACTTGGGAAAGAGGAAGTACATGAATTAACATGCAGGCACATGGTGGCATGTGCCTGTGGTGCCAGCTACTGGGCAGGCTGAGTGGCAGCATTGTTTGAGCCCAGGAGGTGCAGGCTATGGTGAACTGAGATCGTACTACTGCACTCCAGCCTGGTTAACAGAATGAGACCCTGTCTGTCTTTCTCTCTCTCTCTCTCTCTCTCTCTCTCACACACACACACACACACACACACACACACACACACAGAAAATAAAGGAGAAAAAGAAATTGTTCTTAAACATAAAATTTAAAGTGGGGTTCTTTGTATCACCACATTCTTTTTTTTTTTTTTTTTTTTGAGACGGAGTTTTGCTCTTGTTGCCCAGGCTGGACTGCAATGGTGTGATCTCGGCTCACTGCAACCTCCACCTCCTGGGTTCAAGTAATTCTCCTGCCTCAGCCCCTCGAGTATCTGGGATTACAGGCACGTGCCACCATGCCCAGCTAATTTTTGTATTTTTAGTAGAGATGGGGTTTCACCATGTTGGCCAGGCTGGTCTCTAACTACTGACCTCAGATGATCCACCCGCCTCAGCCTCCCAAAGTGCTGGGATTACAGGCATGAGCCACCATGCCCAGCTGACTCTTTTAAATTTCATTCAGCTGTGCGCCCAGCCTCACCACATTTTTATATGAAGAAGAAATAAAATAATAATTACTAATTAAATAATTAAATATTATTTCCTTCTCCTTATATGTTTGAAAACATCAAAGATTTTCTCCAAAATTATCATAGCTATAAAAGAGTCAATATAATATCAAATGGTAACAAATTAATTCCTTTATGATGCAAAGAATCAATGTAAAATTGTGAAGAAATATCATCCATTCACAGAAGTAACTACAAATAAAAAATCCCAACTTGCGTAATGTATTTCCTCATTAAGAAGAAGGTGATTATGATGTCCTAATTTTCGTTTTCTTCACTTACCCCTACACTCTGCAGTAGTCAGGGGCTTCCTGGGCCATGCTGGTGCCTGACAATTCTCCCACTTCCTCCCAGCAGCTCTAGCATCTTCCTTCCCCAGCCACAGAGGCGTCCCTTCTGATGTATTCTGGTTGGTTGAGCCCCATCAGGCTGTTTCATCTCCAGCCTTTCTCCCTGGACAGGGGTAGGGAAAGGAGTGCTGGATTCGGAGCTCCTCCGTCCCTGCGCCGCCTCATTTTCTCCTTGGGGTCTGGCGCACAGTGGCCATTGCAATACACCCTGAAGACTGAAGGAGCCAGCGCAGAGCCAGGATCCTCCTGTGAGCCATGGCCCTGGCTGCCCTGCTTAGCCTCTCGGAACCTGGGCCATCAGGGGTGAGTGCGCAGGTGGGCGAGGGAGGGTGGGGGCTCTGGGCGCTTCTGGAGCCCACAGATGCTGTTTTCTTTCCTGTTCTGTTTTCTCTGTTCTTTACTGTTTTGCCTGAGGCTCTCTTTTGCTTTCTCTCATTCTAACAATAATAACCACCATTTACTGAACACCCCCTAAGTGCCAAACCTCATGTCCTTCCTCACAACACCATTTTCAGAAAGGCTTTTATTAACACAATTTTAGAAATGAAAAGACTGAGACTCAAAGAGATTCATAAATGTCTCCTTTCCCCCACGTCCTCTCGCTGAAGAGAGAAGAGCCAGGGCTTGGCAACCTCCTCTGGAGATTCTCTCGTAGATTGTAGAGGTCAGCTTCCTCAAATAGGAGTCTGCAATGTGGGTTTTTTTCCTTCCTTCCTTCCTTCCTTCCTTTTCTCCCTCCCCCTCCTCCTCTTCTTCTTCTTTTTCTTCTTCTTCTTTTCTCTCTCTCTCTCCTCTCTCTCTCTCGACAGGGTCCTGCTCTGTTGCCCAGGCTGGAGTGCAATCACGTGATCACAGTTCACTGCAACCTTGAACTCCCAGGCTCAAGGGATCCTCACACCTCAGCCTCCTGGGTAACTGGGACTACAGGTGTCTGTCACTACACCTGGATAATTATATATATATATATATATATATATATATATATATTTTTTTTTTTTTTCCCCTTAGAGATGGAGTCTCACTGTATTTCCTAGGCTGGTCTCAAACTCCTGGCCTCAAGTGATCCTCCTGTTCAGCCTCTCACAGCACTAAGATTACAGGTGTGGGGCACCACACCCAGCCCGTTAGTGACTCTCTCTCATTTCATTCAGTCTTCAACCCACTGCATTCTCCCTTTTTCTTCCCCATGTCTCTGATGCTGCTCTCAGGGTGACCTTTATACAACCCAAACCAGTGATCACTTCTCTGTCTCTATCTCTTGTGTGTCATGAGTGTGTTTGTGATGCGTCCGCTCCTCTTTCCTGGATGTTTTCTCCTGTCTGTTGTCTTTTATGAACCCACTTCCTCTTTGTTTTCCTCCTACTTTCTAGTCTTCTCCTTTTCAGCCTCTTTTTTCATGTCTGTGTTTGTCTGGATGCAGGAGCACACACTCAGACCCTTGCTATTCTGACTTTATGTACTTTTCTTGAGTGACCTGATCCAAATTTAGAACTTCACTTATAATGAGCTTCCTTCCAGTCTGTGTCACTAACCTAGTGTACCCTGGGACCCAACCATTTAGCTCACTATCCTCAGATTAACTCCATTTGTTCCCACAGAAATTCAAACTAAGCATGTTCCAAACAGAACATCTTACCTTCTCTCGATTATTTCATTTTTCATTACCTTTGCAGTCACTGATGCCCCAGTTCTCCACGTTGGGTATTCTGGACTCCTTCATATCCCTACTTCCGGCACATGATTTAGTGATTCCTGTGGCTTTTCGTTTCATTATTGCCATTCAAACCCATCCGCTGTCCGCCTCACCCCATGTTCCTGCCCCTGCCTACACCCTCATGACTTCCCATCTGATGGCTGAAGAGTCCTATTGGTCTTGCTTTCAAACCAGCCTCCTCCAACCCATCCTCCCTACTGCTGCCCCCTCCAAACACAAATCTCATCATGTTACTGTCCTGCTTAAGATGCTTCACAACTTCCTATGTCCTGTGGGATAAAATGCAAACACCTGCCATCAGCACACAAGGCAGGTTACAGTGCCGCCCGGCGCACATCTCCCCTGGCTTCAGTCACACTGAAGAACTGCAGTTCTCCTTGCAACTTCATGCCTCTCTGCTCCTGAGCCTGCTTCTCCTGCTGGACATGTCATTTCCCCTTTCTCTGTTTTGCTAACCTCAGGTAAACACTATCCCTAGGAACCTTTCCTAAATCTCATTTTTCAAAAATGCCCTCTTTATGCTCCTGAGTGGCTCCAGTGTATATCTTATGGTACTCAGTGGTGATCAAAATAACCTATGGAAATAAAAGATTAAAAAACACAAAATAAAATACACATGTAGCAATCTTCTTTTCTTTGTCTCTTTGGATTTTGGATTTCAAGCAGCTTGAGGACAAGGCCCAGGTCTTCTGAGTTACATCCTTAGTGCCTAAAGAGTGAAAATTCACAATGAGTGTTTATTTAACAGAATGAAAATTAACATTTGAAGGTGGAATTTGCTTTAAAATGCACGGACCTTTAGTTTTAGGCTTTGTGAGTATAATAAAAACAAAGTAACCTAAGGTGAACAAACGACATCTCTGTAGCACAGCTTGTATATCATGTTTTTCATCTGTTTTTTCTTTGGGCTTCGTTTCTGTAGGTGAGTAATTCTCTAGCCCATAAACTCAGTGGAGGACCCTCAACATCCGTGTGTGACACTGAACTTGCCGTCACTTGACGCATCCAAGGAGATTTTCCCCGTGTTGGGCTTGGAGGGGAAATCCTTGCTTAGGACCAACAACCATGCAGTGTCATTTCGCCTCACTTCCTCTTCCAGGCTGGACTCCATGCTCTCTCATCTTTATTCTTTTACTGTAATAGTAATAGACTTTTTTGTTGTCAACCTTTTGCTGCGTCTTATACATCAGGTAAAGCTAAGATACTATCCCATAGGTGTTTCAAATGCAACAACTTTTATTTCCAGGTAGAACTACACTTGAAAATATACATTCAACAAGAACATTTTGTGAATGTTATGTGCATGACAACATTTTTAAATTTACTATGACTTAAAATGAAAGTGTTTTGATAAAATTATATAAGGTACCATTTTTATTCTAAAAGTAAGAACATAACTTGAAGTCTATAAATAGCACTAAGACTTACTCTGGAGGTCTTTTCATGTCCTTCATTATTTTTTTCCCTGAAAGATTTTTATTTCATCTCCCTACTTCCCTGCCTTTCTCTGTGGCTATATCAGTATTTTTTATGTCTGGTCCTGTAGGGGTTCTGAGATCCTATGGGAATGGGGTAGGGGGACTATGCAATTTTGTTTCTACCAGGAGTTGTGTGACTTGGGTGAGTTACTTTACTTCTGTGGTCCGTTCCCCAATATGTAAAATAATTTCCTCTGTTAAATCAAGTTTAGCCTAAAGTTGCCTCCTTACATATTTTAAGTTTGGCCTAAAGGTTTCTCTGTACATCATGAACTATAACAAGTGGAGGTGTAAACAGACCATAGCCTACACTTGTGCCAATCACTGAGTTTTGGCCAATCATATGTAGCTAACTGTTTGAACTGTGTTCAAGTTAGGCAAACATTGAGCTGTAACCAATCTGGCTGTTTCTGTACCTCACTTCTGTTTTCTGTATGTTACTTTTCTTTTTCTGTCCATAAACTTTCTTCCACCACGCAGCTGTGCTGGAGACTTTGAGCATACTCTGGCTTGGGAGGCTGCCCGATTTGTGAATTGTTTATTGCGCAATTAACCTCATTTAAAATTTATTCGGCTGAAGTTTTTCTTTTATCAGGTGGTGTCAGAAGTGGGGTTGGAAGTAGAGCTTCTAATGACCCCCAGAAGTGCTGAGTGACCTAGTGAGGTACCCTCCAGGCCCATTGTGTCTCTTTCTCTCTCGGAGCAGCTGGGGATCGTGGTAAGTTCTCTTGCAGATTCCGAAGCTCCACAGATTTGTGTGTTGAGCTCTCTGAGTTTCTTTGAGTAAATTTCTGATCCTGATTGGATTTGAAAGTCGCGAAAGAAATTGAACTGAGTCCAGGATCGGATTGGCTCCAGTAATTAACTGGCTTGGATCCGGTTAGAGACCTCTTACATCTAACTGGATCAGAAAGAAACCAGTATTAAATGGCAATATTGCAAAGGTGTAAAATTTGGCTTTTGGAAATTCACAGAGATTTTTATGTTCTACTCCTTTATTTTTCTTGTGCACTTAGGTAGGAAAAAAAATCATTGGCTAAGTTGAACAAGGGACCTGAGAGCAAAGCCAGTATTTGAGGTAAAAAATGTGATACTGAATTTCTGAAGAACTGAGTTCCTTCTGGATTATACATGCATAAGTATTAGGCCCTGGAAGGAGCAACGCCTTACAGAAATTGTCCAGGCGTGGTGGCTCACACCTGTAATCCCAGCACTTTGGGAGGCCAAGGTGGGTAGATTGCTTGAGGCTAGGAGTTTGAGACCAGGCTGGCCAACACTGTGAAACCCTGTCTGTACTAAAAATTAAAAAAAAAAATTAGCCAGGCATGGTGGCATGTGCCTGTAATTCCAGCTACTCGGGAGGCTGAGGCACAAGAATCACTTGAACCCAGGAGGTGGAGGCTGCCATGAGCTGAGATCATAATACTGCACTCCAGCCTGGGTGACAGAGACTGTGTCTCAAATAAAAATTTTTTTTTTTTTTTACTAAAGATAACTTGCAGTAGAACATTCCAAAAGAACAACACTGCACTGAAGTGCATTTGAAAATGAGGGCTCCCAGATTAGTCTCATGTACAGTCTCATGTAGGGATGCCTATTGATATGCAGAAGCTTCTAAAAAATTTCAATATTTGCATTTAAAGACTTTACAAAAAAGAATTAAAAAGCTTAAACAACTAATTGATTTAAAAAATTAAATCTGCCTTGCGCTTTTTGCTGATGGCTGTGTGTGACAGGATTAGGCATGTACAGGATCATGGGACATGGGGAACTTTTTTCTCCCCAAAGCAGGAAACTTGAGAGCTGATGAGACGGCTGGAAAAGATCCTTCATGACTGACAAGCAGCTGCCTGAACTTTTTTTTTTTTTGAAACGGAGTCTCACTCTGTCTCCCAGGCTGGAGTGCGGTGGCACAATCTCAGCTCACTGCAACCTCCGCCTCCTGGGTTCAAGTGATTCTTCTGCTTCAGCCTCCCGAGTAGCTGGGATTACGGGCGCCCACCACCATGCCTGGCTAATTTTTTGTGTTTAGTAGAGACAGGGTTTCACCATGTTGGTCAGGCTGGTCTCGAACTCCTGACTTCAGGTGATCCGCCCACCTTGGCCTCCCAAAGTGCTGTGATTAAAGGCATGAGCCACCGCACCTGGCCCTGAACTTTTAATTTAGTGTCACTGCAATAGGTGGGTCCTTCTCTGTCCTCCCTGAACTCTTTGCCTTCCCCACCCTGCTGCAGACAATGCTTTTCTTTCTCTCTTTCTCTTCTTTCCTTTTTCTATCTTTCTTTCTTTTTTTTTTTTTTTTTGAAACAGAGTCTTGCTATGTCACCCAGCCTGGAGTGCAGTGGTGCGATCTCGGCTCACTGCAAGCTCTGCCTCCGAGGGTCATGCCATTCTCCTGCCTCAGCCTCCGGAGTAGCTGGGACCACAGGCGCCCGCCACCACGCCTGGCTAATTTTTTTTTTTTTTGTATTTTTAGTAGAGACGGAGTTTCACCGTCTTAGCCAGAATGGTCTCTATCTCCTGACCTCGTGATCTGCCCACCTCGGCCTCCCAAAGTGCTGGGATTACAGGCGTGAGCCACCATGCCCGGCCTCCTTTTTCCAGCTTTCTATTATATCTTGTCTAGAGATCACATGTTGAAACTTCTGGCTGGAGGCCATTCCACCCCACTTTGAATAGATTAAAGATAGCAGAGCCCCACCAGGGGCAAGTTTAAGCCTTACCAGTTCAATATTGGGCACTAAGCAGAGTGGCTAATGTCTATGTTTTGTCACATGTATTTTGCTGTGGCTGGAAGGGAAAATGTTAATTCAGTTCCCTCATGCAATCTCTTGGGCAGCATCTTACAAAATTGAGAGGCTTTTGCCTATGGTTCCCTGAAATCAGAAAAGATGATTTTCCTTTGTGTTGTGGCTTGGCCCCCAGGCTATGTGCAGCTAACAGGGTCGCTAGGGCCACTCAGAAAGAGGGAACCCAGAAGCCTGGCATGCTGGCAAAAGGGTAAGAATTTCTTAGCAGTCAGGCTTCTGGCCTCTCTCTGTGTGGAAACGGTTGTAGGAGTAGTAAAAATCACTGTCTCCTCTGCAAAGTTTTAATTAATGATAAAAAGGATTTGTGAGGCTGGGTGCGGTGGCTCACGCCTGTAATCCCAGCACTTTGGGTGGCCGAGGCGGGTGGATCACGAGGTCAGGAGATCAAGACCAACCTGGCTAACACAGTGAAACCCAGTCTCTACTAAAAATACAAAAAATTAGCCGGGCGAGGTGGCGGGCGCCTGTAGTCCCAGCTACTCGGGAGGCTGAGGCAGGAGAATGGCGTGAACCCGGGAGGTGGAACTTGCAGTGAGCCGAGATCGCGCCACTGTACTCCAGCCTGGGCGACAGCGAGACTCCGTCTCAAAAAAAAAAAAAAAAAAAAAAAAAAAGGTATTTGTGAGCCAATCTTAAGCTGTAGCAAACCTGGTGTACTTTGTGCTATGAATTGGTCTTTCTGTGTCATTTGGTCATAAAAGGGGTTAAATAGGATAAAATGTGGGCCTAGGACTCCCAGAAGTCTGCTGTTCAAGCCAGCCTGGCAAACTGGTCAGTTACAAACTGCGGGTCCCTGAAACAAAAAAACACTGGATAAGGTTTCCCTGTCATCTTGTTTTATGTCATTGGGAGCTTGACCTTATAATCACATGATGGTACTTTCTTTTGGTCTCCACCCTCTGGAGGACAGGAATTTTGGAGTTCATGTCATAGTTAGCTCTAAAAATTATCTTGAGCAGTTAAAAGCCTTTGCAAGCTGAAAATTGGCTGCTCTTAGGCTCCTCCTTCTGGGAGGAACAATGGAAACCACCAACGGTGTAGCTTAGTGGCTAAGCTTTGCCATCTTATGATGGCAGCCAGGCAGGGTTCAATTCCAGCTCAGGGAATGAGACCTGTTTGGTTTGATATCTTTCTGATCTTTGCTATTTGCTGATTCTCTTCCCCTCATGAACAACTTCTGACTCTCGTCTTGAATTTTCCTTTCTCTGAGCTACGTTTGGAAATCCTAGAGTTTGTAAAAATTGCTTGCTACCTTTTTGAAAATACTTCGTACACTTGTGGTTAAGTCATAACCTTGTTAAAGCTTATTGGTTTCACCTGGGAGATTACCTTTGGTAAAGTTCAAAAGCCAGACATATTGGCTGTTTGGCCTGGCTAAAGTCAAGTAATAAGAGATTTAAAATGATTATTTTAGGCTGGGCGCAGTGGTCCATGCCTGCAATCCCAGCGCTTTGGGAGGCCAAGGAGGATGGATCACCTGAAGTCAGGAGTTTGAGACCAGCCTGACCAACATGGAGAAACCCTGTCTCTACTAAAAATACAAAAATTAGCTGGATGTGGTGGCTCGCACTGGTAGTCCCACCTATTCAGGAGGCTGAGGCAGGATAATCGCTTTAACCTGGGAGGCGGAGGTTGCAGTGAGCTGAGATTGAACCACTGCACTCCAGCCTGGGCAAGAGAGCAAGACTCCGTCTCTAAAAACAATCAAATAATTTTTTTTTTTTTTTAGAAAGAGTGCTATAGTTAAAAGTCAGCTTAATTAAAAGTGGATATCCAAGCTATAGGTATATTTAAAGGGCCTTTTGGTTTTTTCTCTTCTTGGATCTTTGTTTTTTTTTAATTATTTTTTTCTTTTTAGCCAACTGAATTGTTTTTCTCCATTTTGTCTTCTTGCCACTTTTGTTGCACACATGAGAGGACCTAAGGTAACTTCTAACAGCCTGGGACTCCTTGGGAAAAACAGAGGAGGCACTACGATCCTGCTTTGGGATATAACTCGGTTTTCCTCCTGAAACACCAGGAATCAAAAGCAGATAGATCCCTCTCAAAATCTAAGGCTAAATATCCTTTTGGGGATGGCCAACAGGGTGAAACCCAGTCTCTACTAAAAATACAAAAATTAGCCTGGTGCAGTGCTGCACACCTGCAGTTCCAGCTACTGGAGAGTCTGAGGCATGAGAATTGCTTGAGCCTGGAAGGCGGAGTTGCAGTGAGCCGAGATTGCACCACTGCACTCCAACATGGGTGACAGAGTGATACTCTGTCTCAAAATAAAGGAAAGAAAGAAAGAGAGAGAGAGAGTGGAAGGAAGGAAGGAAGGAAGGAGGGAAGGAAGGAAGGTCATTTCCACAGTTAATTGCTTAATGCTGGTGCAATTTCTGAAAACTTCACAAGTAGGCACAATTCTAGAATATGGTGTCTTTTAGGAGGTTCCTGAAAGGATGGAAAGGACCCCAAAAAGTATTCTTGATTACAGGTTTCTGATAACTTTAGAATCATATCATTTTTACTGGGTAAGAATTCCTGGAGCTTTTTTTTTTTTTTTTGAGACGGAGTCTCACTCTGTCACCCAGGCTGGAGTGCAGTGGCACGATCTTGGCTCACTGCAAGCTCCGCCTCCCAGGTTCACGCCATTCTCCTGCTTCCTGGAGCTTAAAAGACTGACTGGTTTATAAAACTGCCATCCCAAGTAGAACACAAATTAATTGAATACCAAGAAAATACTTTGCAAGTCTTTCATGCTAAATCACCCAATACTGAAATTGTTTAGATATACAATTTGAATAAACTCTGTGGTCTAACTCAAATTACCTATGATAACCCATCAGTTATCAGTGCTATGCACCTCAATTGGAGAAACAACCGTGTCAAGCATGGACTCATGGAGAACCAAGGTGGCTGCCTTATCCTTCCTGAGCTTTTAAAGCTTTTATAATTTAAAGTTCTGCATTCCATGACTCATCATGGAAAAGATAAAATGATCCAAGTTAAATGCATATTGGTGTGGTGACTTCTAAATTGCTAAAATAGTTTATGACCAATGTTTGGTTTGCCAAACCCATATTCCTGGGAAGACAATCAAAGCTTCAGGTACATTCTGCTATCTCATGAGCCATTTAAACATTTATGAAGAGATTTCAGTCAATTGTCATTTTCAATGCATGTTTTCTGGTTGTGTAAAAGCTTTCCTATACAAGTGAACTGATGTTATAACAGTAGATTATTATTTCACAGTGTATTTTCACCAGGTAAAGAAAGCTTTTTATGGTTCACTGACTGAGGACAATCAACCCCTTCACAATCTAGAACCTGAAGATTGGATCTTCTGAGAACATCAGAGAAAGACTGCCCTTGCCATCCACACTGCAGCAAACATCAGAACCATGAACCTTGGCTTCATAATCTCACAACTGAGAAGGATCCCTCCACATTCTTGGAAATATACACCCATTGGAACCCGTAAGGTAAAGCTAACCAGGGAAGTTTCTCCCTAGAAGAAGATGGTATCCTTGATGTGAACAGCTTTTACCAAGATCACAGATCAAGACTTCTCTGCTATATGGAGGCTCTTATCTTTGAGTACTTTTTCCCTTGCTTATGCCTCTATGAACAGTAGAAGTGAAAAGGGGGTCTGTTGTGTGCACTCATGGGGTAGGTATACTTTTATTGGTGAAGGGTTTTGCAGCCAGCCTTATACATGGATAACCTCACACCTTGATAGATGAAAGATGAAGGCCCAGTGTAGGTGAGAAATTTTAATGGTACATAGGTTGCCTCATAATCAGTCAGAAACAGAACATTGATTCACTCCCCTATTCCACATCATGGGTTAAAGAGAACATTGCCAGGAGGCCTTCAGTCTTCTAGAAGGGCATTGTTCCTTAGGTTCTTTTTACCATGATTTGGAGTAAAACAGGCAATGATTAGAAATGTATCCCTCATGAGAGGCTCTAAACAGAGTCTACTGTAAGGGCTATGGTTACACAACAGATTTTACATTCTTTTGTGAAAGTTATGCTTAATAGTAGGATTGCTGTAGATTACTTACTGGCTAAACAGAGAAGTATCTGTGCAGCTGCTGGCACTTGTGGCCTATGGAGAAATACATCACGTCAGGTATTACAGAGATTCAGTTGTAGGTAATTAATGAAGAGACTGCTTAAATGAGTAAACTCTTTATTTAGCTCATTCTTTGATCTATTTAATTTTGGGTGGTTTGGTTTATGGAGACCCTGTGTAAGGAGCATACTCCAAACTCTTGGTATTATCCTCCTGATAGTCATAATAGTAGTCTATCTGGTGCACTGTATTCTCTCGAAAGTTTTAAATGTTTGCATGCAGCCATCTCTAGAATGTCAAATTGTCTCTCTTCAACTAGAATGACAAGATTGAAAGAAATGTGTGACCATGAGGGCACTTTAACCTATGAATGATGTGTCGAGACTGGAAACCCAAAATGATGGTAACTGAGAGTGGCGCTAAGGCCCTAAGCTTTGGTCACGTTCTCACCTAAGTGAGAACGTGACCAAAAAGGGGACATTTTTAAACAAAATCATGGCAGGCCATTGTTTTGGACTTTAATGAAAGGCCAAATGCACTAAGCCCCAACAGACCAGACCAAACCAAAATGGAGTCACTTGTGCTAAATGTGACATGATTAAACTAAGACTTTAAGGAAACACATAGATCCTAAAACAGGCCAGGTTTTGTTTTTTTCTCCTATAAACAGAATGTTCCAACAAAAGGAGGTACCCTGTAATCTAACCCTTCAAAAATAAAATTAAAATAAAATAAAATAACCTGAAATCCTTGTTCCCTCTTACAAAACTCATTGTTCTGCTATTTTCCAGGGGGTTTCAAGACCAAATAAGTACATTTACAATGGTGATAGTGGCATCGATGACTGAAGTTTTGGTAAATCTCTAAAAATTGAGAAGATTACCAAAAGAGGAAAATTGTTAAATCAAGTTTAGCCTAAAGCTGCCTCCTTACATATTTTAAGTTTGGCCTAAAGGTTTCTCTGTACATCGTGAACTATAACAAGTGGAGGTGTAAACAGCCTACACTTGTGTCAATCACCAAGTTTCAGCCAATCATATGTAGCCAACTGTTCAAACTGTGTTCAAATAAGGATACACCCAGCTGTAATCAATTGGGTGTTTCTGTACCTCACTTCTGTTTTCTGTATGTCACTTTCCTTTTTCTGTCCATAAATCTTCCACCACATGCCTGCAATGGAGTCTCTGAGCCTACTCTGCCTCGGGAGGCTGCCTGATTCATGAATCGTTCATTGCTCAATTTGACTCTTTTAAATTGAATTCAGATGAAGTTTTTCTTTTTTTCTTTTTTCTGTTTTTTTTTTTCGAGACAGAGTCTCACTCCGTCACCCAGTCTGGAGTGCAGTGGCGCAATCTCAGCCCACTGTAACCTCCTCCTCCCGGTTCAAGTGATTCTCCTGACTCAGCCTCCCAAGTAGCTGGGACTACAGACACCATGCCTGGCTAATTTTTGTATCTTTAGTAGAGACAAAGGGGTTTCACCATGTTGGCCAGGCTGATCTTGAATTCCTGACCTCAAGTGAACCACCTGCCTCAGCCTCCCAAAGTGCTGGGATTACAGGAGTGAGCCACCGTGCCTGGCCAGAAGTTTTTCTTTGAACACTTTTTTTTTTTTTTTTTTTTTTTTTTGGGAAGGAGTCTCACTCTATCTCCCAGACTGGAGTGCAGTGGCGCGATCTCGGCTCACTGCAAGTTCCACCTCCTGGGTTCACGCCATTCTCCTGCCTCAGCCTCCTGAGTAGCTGGGACTACAGGCACCTGCCACCATGCCCAGCTGATTACAGGGGTGAGCCACCATGCCCGGCCTTCTTTGAACACTTCTACGTGGAAGTGTGAGGATTCAGTGAATAAGTTGAGCACATGGTACATGTTCAGTGAATATTTTCTGATTGTGTTCATTGTTATCATTATTGGAATGATGTGAGGGTTGTGTAAGTCTTCAGAGACCAGGGAAACAACTGAAATCTTCTATGAGTCATTTCTATCATTGTTTATCCCCATTCCTTTTCTTTTCATTCATTTTTGCATTTCTCATTTTCTGTGTTATTCCCTTGCATTCCTAAAAACTTTCCCATTACCTGCTTGCTTCTTGTATTCTGTGTAGTTTCCTATGTGTTCATCATTCTGCAGTCTTCTTCCCCTTCATGCAGCAGACCATGTGTCAACGTATGCAGAGTTTGTGCAGACACACAGATCCTCTGGGGAGTATATGTTTGAATCTGATGAAGATGAGCAGTTATTTGTGCACCTGGACAAGAAGGAGATGGTCTGGCATCTGTGACAGTTTATTCACACTGTGAGGGTCAGAAAATGAAGGGACCAGGGATGGAAAGGGATGGGGGACAAAACACTAAGCTGGCAGTCCTAACCCCACTGTGTTTATTCTACTCCAGGTGTCAAACTTTCTCAGTCAGAAGTTGACATAAGGAAGTCACCAGCTTCGGTCTCCTTTAAATCTCCAGGCCTAACTTTTTTTTGAATCTCTGCTCTTCAACCACAATGACTTATGTACCCCAAGACCCCTCTACCTCCTGGCTGCCTATGATCCTCCTGCACCTAGCACTCAGCAAAGGGTCTGACATTTAGATAGCCCTCAATCAATATGAAGAATTTAAAGTGTAGTGACAAGGTGGTGCCCACACTGGATGGTCTGTATGCTGTGGTCTCATCAGGAACCTTTCTCTGCACTGCATTTTTCCTAAGAAATCCCAGAGTTCAATAAATACCTGTGTATGTCAGAGCTAGACACATCTGATGCCTTTCTGTGACTCCTTATATTCTCAGTTTCCTAGGAATGCATATCCTGGACTTGTAATTGTAGGATACAGGTGCATTATGGGTGCAGATACCTCAGTTTTGCATCCTGCAAGAGTTAGTCTGGAGATTGTTCACTCCACTCTGGGTACGGCTGACACCTACAGCATGCGTCCAGGGGACAAAAATGGAAGGAGATGACTCTGATTGGATAGTGAGAGGAACACGGGTAGCTCTGGTAAACTGACCAGGGATAGGCGCCCAGGGGCACACAAGGCCCAGAAGCTGCTTGTGAGAAGTCAGGGAGAAGGAAGCCAACAACTGGATGTATCAGAGAGCCACTGAGTGCTCATTATGTGTATCAGGAGTTAAGAATCCATCCTCTACACGAAAAGGAAAGCTTAGACCAAACATGTCTTCTACCTTGATTTACAGTAACTTAATATGAAATGCAAAACACATAAAAATTTTGGATTGTAAAAAAAAGATCAGTGTTTGAAAGAGTGCCACACCTATTGCTTTGCACTTTCAACAATGGGGAGGCGTTTCTCACTGTATGAATTATTAGCTCAGGAGGTCTAGGCTGGTGAATGAATGCAGACTTAGAGGATAAATGTCGTCTACTTGATGCATTCAAAAGGCCAAGCAACATTTGGTTAAGGAGTATTTGTGATGGCATGCAAAGAAAGTGTTGAAAGTGTGTTAGATTATATTTATCGTTTTAAATTCTGATGCTTATTTAATTTCTTAACAGTAATGCTAAAACATGCTCTTAGTAAGTTATATGTTGAATCAGTGCTATGTTAATATGGGCCCTATAACACAGATTTGCAGTCTGTTCACCACTGAATAGCTAAGAATAGTGGTTTCAGACCTAAATGGATGAAGACACCAAACATGAGGATGGGGCAGCTCACTGAAATATAGTAAATCCAGGAGAGGTCTATGTCCAACAGGCCACCTTATACAATAGTTTGGATGGATTTTCATGGTTTTCTTCTTTCTTATGTCTAAACCACAATGAACTTCTTTATTAACTCTTACTGTTTGCTAAAACCCTCAAGAAAAAAAAGTGATGAGACATGACTTGGTGTATATTCTTAACAGAAAACAATCATGTTGGGTTTTGATTACTCATGGCACTAAGGAGAAAGGAACTTGGTTGGAGGCCCCATGAGAGAAATCATGCATTGAATCCAGGAACAGAATCATAGAAACTGGCTTCAGTGCAACTACTCAGCAGCAGCATCCTCTTGGGAGGCTGGGGGTCTGTCCTCGAAGCAGATACTGGGACTAAAGAAACAGAAAATGCTTGTTCCAAGGTACATTAGTCTTTTAGGCAAGGTCAGCAACCCTGTGGAGGTAAAAAACAGTAATCCCAGGTTGCTGGCCCCCTTCCTTTAAGTCCCAGGAGAGAAAAATAACGGTGAGAGGCTGAATCTCAGGCTGATAAAGAATAGAGTTGATCTGAGCTTCCTTTAGCAATGGAGCCATGCAATGCTCTTTCCCCACTCACCCCAGGGCTGAGGTTGAAACAGGGGTTCAGGCCTGAGACTCTCTTCCTAGAGGAGCTCAGTGTCACAATGTACAGAAAGGACTTATGTCCTCCTGTAACTCCCCCAACAAGGAAATCAAAGCAGGAATATTGCCTGTTTATGCAGATCCTTGTTGAACTGAAATGAAAGGAAGAAAGAGAATGTATTCAGCTACTGAAACCACCTCAGACAATTAGAGAAACGTTTCCATCACACTTCCATTGCCCATCACTCAATGGACGCTCTGCAGGAGCCTGAGTAACTGGGACCTTATGCATCTGGCTGCATTAAGATGCCAGGCTGGGATTCCTCTCTCCTTAGAAGCTGTCTTTGTTTCCTGACTATGTGATTTCAGCAAGCTCTCTGGCATTGCTTTTTTGTCTCAGCCCCTCATCATGGAAGAAGAGTGAGCAAGTCAGGAGAAAGGTGGGTATCGGTCACCTCACAGGATTTCTCACCTTTCTTGCTCCTTCTGTGCGTGAAGATGTCCACTCCACAGATGATGAGCCCCAGCATGAAGCCCCTGGCTCCTGTCAGCATCTTGCTCTGCACAAAATCAGACTGTGCCTCTAGGAAGAACAGGCTTAGGTTCAGAGTCACCTCCAGCAGCTGCACCCCTGCTCATGTCCTGTCTGAGATCCTGCAGCCTGATGCAGAATATTGGCACGAGGAGAGCGAGGGGAATACACCTTGCATGACAGGAAATTGAGAAACAGTCACTCTCTCAATTCTAGAACAGAGGGTGTGACCTCAACAACAGACAAATTCAGATTCAATTAGTTGCCTCTCAAAATAACTTAGAATAAGCTAAAAGGCTGAAGGAAGACAACAGTTCCCATGTGTAAGGTCAGTTCAGGAAGGTGTCTGCATCCCTAGATTCTTGGACAAGGAGAGGAACTATGAATCCTTAGGACCTCCTAGGCCGGGGGCAGGCAAGTCTCCATTGTCCCCAGGTTAAAACTACACTCAGGGTCTTGTATAGAAGAAAAATGGGGTCGGACATGGTCCCAGGGTATAGACACATAAAACCAGATGAGTGGACCCCAGAGCCAGAGAGTCCCCTGCTCTTCAGAGGTGGAGTCTAGAGGGTCATCAGACCCTCACTCCACTCCACGGTGACAGGACTGTCCAGGCTGGGGTGCTTCACTTGGCAGGTGTAGATGTTTCCCTGCTGGGGGATCATTTCCAGCATCTCCAGGATCTGGAAGGTCCAGTCTCCATTACGGATCAGCTTGGTGGACATGACCCCAGCTGTTTCCTCCTGTCCATTCAGGAAGCATCGGACTTGAATGCTGCCTGGGTAGAAATCTGTCACGTGGTAGACAAGCAGGTGGTGGTGCTGCCGGGGCTCCTTCTTGGAGGGGGGATGTTCACCCTAGGCTGGACTAGGAGTGGCGAAGTGGAAAAGTGGAATAGCATTTGAGATTATTATTTCTTAGACATGCTCATTATGGAATTGATTTTTAGATGTTGAAAATAGGAATGATGGCCAGGCGCAGTGGCTTACACCTGTAATCCCAGCACTTTGGGAGGCTGAGGCAGGTGGTTCGAGACCAGCCTGACTAACATGGAGAAACCCTGTCTCTACTAAAAATACAAAATTAGCTGGGTGTGGTGGTGCATGCCTGTAATCCCAGCTACTCAGGAGGCTGAGGCAGGAGAATCGCCTGAACCCCGGAGGCAGAGGTTGCATGAGCTAAGATCGCACCATTGCACTCCAGCCTGGACAACAAGAGTGAAACTCCGTCTCAAAAAAAAAAAAAAGTAGGAATGATGTGATTAGGTCAGCGGATAAGGGGAGTACTGAAACTATAGAAATAGTATTGAGAAGAATAGGAGGCACACAAACTTACCAGTTTGTAGCACATTTAAAAGAAATCTTATCTATCAGCCACTGATTAACAGCCTTTGGACAAAGAATATTTAATCAGCAGCGATATTACCTTATCTTTTGAGTGCTCTATCCTGATGCAAAAGATGAAAAATTTGCTCAAATAGTTTCTTGAAATTAATATATATATAAACGACATTCTCATGGTCTATTAATCCAATAACTATATTTCATAAATATATCAAGAAAATAAAGTGAGCTTGACATGACTTATTCTGCAAGTAACCTATGGATTTTTTGGCCTCGCCTACAAACACTCAAAATCATCCTATTTACATAATATCCTGAGCCCCTACATGCTTAAATAGTAGAAATCCCATCCTTTTCCCTAAGTTCCTCCTCTGCACTGTGTTGTCACATCCATTGAGGTTCTCAGATAACCAGGTGTTGGCTGTGCCTTGGCACCTCTCTATTTTTGCCCCCTCTTTTTCTGCCGCTTACAGATCAATTTCCACGCTACCACCTGCAGCTTTTTCTTTGGACCTCAGCCACTAGTACCCTTTTCCTCCACAGAAGGCAGAAAAGGGCCAACTGCCCCTAGAGAACAGCTCAATTACAGGAATGTTCCAAATCAGAGCTTCTAGGTCCTTATTTACTCTGTTCTTGAGAACACAAATACACTGACATGGGCCTGGGCCAGGTAAATGAACATGGGGGTTAGTCTTGAACTAACCCACAACCCTTACTCCCTATGGTATTTTTGCCTTGTGTCCAGGATTATTCACATTCACAGCCTCTTCCCTCGATGTGATTTTATTTCAGAGGCACTTGGCTCTCGTTCTACTTCAACCACCTCCATAAACTCAACGTCCATCAGACTGGTCAACCCATGTCTGAATCCCAACTGTAGATTAAGTGGAACTTCTTCCCCATAGGTGTCCTGGGAAGCATGAAAGTCATGGGATATATGGTTGTCTGTTTTAAGGTCCCAGAACATTCAATGAGAAGCACTTTGCTCCATCTTCTTTGACGGGAGCTGGTCAGCCTGGAGCACATCAGAGACCTCCAGGGGGCGCTGCAGCTAAGGCTTGATACCCAGTGGCCTCATTTCTGACCCAGTTCAAATATATTTCACCAAGGCAAGGATTCCTGTTTGTTCTAGTTGCCTTTGCTCAGTTACTTCTAGATTTGGGTGGGCATCCACACTGGAATGGCCAGAACTTCTATCCTCCTCTTTCCTCCATCTCCCCTACCCCTGTGTTTTTCTCTATTCTAATTCATGCCCTTATTATCATTTCCCTGGACAATAATAGCAGTTTCTTATCTCATCTCCCTGCCTCTGGTTCCTGCTCTCTCCAACTGACTTTACAGTCTTCTGAAAACAGATTTCCAGCCTTGTCATTTTAAGATTTCTGAAGATTTTCAAAAATCTTCAGTGTTCTGACACATATCTGGTTACATGGGAATCACTTGGGAGCTGATTAAAAACACAGATCTCCAGACCTCCCCACCCAGGGAATCTGAATCTCTAGGCAGTGAGTCTGGGGGAATCTTTGCTTCACAGAGGATCTCAAGGAGAGTCTTCTGAGCAGTGAGGTTGGGGACCTGCTGGCCTAGAGGAGAAATCCACACTCCTTAGTCTGGCATCAGGGGGTCTCTGCAATCTGGCAGCTGATTACCATGAAAGAAAATGCTGCCATGTCGCTGATTTGGGCCTCTATGAAGTCTTAGTGACAGATTTTGCAAATTGTATTACTTTTATTTGGACACCTCTCTCAACCAATTACGCCAGCAACTTTCCTAAACCCATGTCACTCTCCTCATCCTTACTCAATGTGTGCATCTTCTCCATCTTATCAGATGACCTTCCTTTCACTTTCCCAGGAACAGAGGGATCAATGGTGTGACCTCCTGAGCCTCCTCCTCCTCCCCCTTCATTCTTTCCTCTTTCTCTAGGACAAAGGTCCTTGTTTAGTGAGAGGCTCACTAGTGCTTTTTGGTCTCCTTCACGGGATTTCTCTCTTGGCCAAATTAATACACGAGTTATTAAGAGATTATTTTTAGGCAGCTAAAAAGGGTAAAAGTTCTTGGTGGAATTTTCCTTTAATAAAAAGCAGCCCCAAACCATTTTTTCTCTAACAGAAAGCAGCCTGAAAACTCAGGCATAGATATGCAAACTAGAAGCTTTTATGTAAATGCTGGCAGCTGTTCCTGGAAGCCAGGTAATTCAATATTGCTGTTCTCACCCTCTTTTCCTTCTACGTTTACAGGTGTCGAGGCAGCCTCCAGGTTAAAGCACGAGTACAGGTATCATGGCCGCCACCAGGTGGAGGCCTCATTTGTATAATAAAATACTAGGGTGGGAGGGCCAGTCTTTTTGCAGGTTATGTAAATGACACACCTGGTCAAACCAATCCCCTGAGCCCTATGTAAGTCAATCACTGCCTCCTCAAGCCTCTGTACAAAACCAATTGCTTTCCACCAGAAACAGGAGACCCTCTCTTGGGTGACCTGCCTTATCAGCATTAGGAAGCTTTTCCTCTCACTCCTCTTTTCTATTAAACTTTCCGCTCCTAAACCCACTCCTTGTGTGTGTCCGTGCTGTGAATTCTTTTTCAGCTATGGTAAAGAACCAGGGTATATACCCTAGACAGTGGAGCTGTTTCATTTTGGGAGCTCATCTGGGATCCAAATCAGAATGGAAGATAGAAACATCGGAGTGGTGAGTATAGAGCAAACGTCAAATCTGTTCTTTAATCTCAAGGATCTCTTCATACCAGTTTCCTTTCATGGAGAACTTCACCATCGCATGAGGCTGGGAAAAGTCTTGGGGCAACTGAAAATTTCTGGCCAGGGCACACCCTGGTGTTATTCAAAGGCTTCTGGACTGAACGCAGCCTCCGACAGCCTGTCCAGGTGTTGGTAATGCATCTCCAGCTATCCCGTTGCAAAATTTTCCTTTCCTTTGTATCCGTGGTCACTGTGTCTCCTGTCCTCTCTCTCTCTGTGTGCAATTTGCGGGAAGTTTTACAGTTCAGGGAAACACTCCTGTTAGGGAAGATCGGCAAATGCCACAGGCAGTAACTGTTACTCTCTATCCTCTCTGGCGAGCACATGGTAGTGCTAAGCCAACAGCACCACCTAGTGGAAATAGAAATCCTCTTCATCAGGCACCTTGTCGGTTTTTTACCGTAACACTGCAGCTTCCAAATTCTTTCGTGCCGCTAGAAAAGCCTCTTCTGTGAACGAGAAAGCACTGTCTTCAACAGTTAGGAGTAAAATGTCCTCTGTAGTGAAATTTTAGTTCTGATACTGTCTCATCAGCAGGAAAAACAGCCATTAGATTCCTACGTTCATTTCTGTCTCCAATTAGGATAGTACTTAATTAGCAAGGGGATTTTAGGTTCGGAAGTTAACCAGAGCCATTTTGCTAAGGGTAAATGTCTTAGCATGGGCCGTAATGGCAGGCAATCTAGCACACTGCCTCCGTTAAAGGAGCCTACCCAAAGATGACATAGTCTCTCTGGAGATCCATTTTTCTGGGAGCCAGGCAGATCACACAAATTTAGGACGTCAAAGGGGATCACATAAGGTGGATAAGCTAAGGTTGTGTGGGTAAAGTATGGTTAATCCCATCACTTAGTTTATCCAGTTCCACGGCTTGGAGGACCACGCCTACAACCATGGGTGGTACATTTAACACGTTGCCAGGACCCAGGAACCAAGGAGAGAAAACAGTAGGGAGGACACTTCCACTGTCTTCTCCTCCACCCTGGGTCACAATGAAAGAATGGGGACGAAAGGATACTTTTATTCTCACTTCTTTTTCTAGATGGGTGACAGACCAGCTTCAGCTTGCACCCCTCTGGAGTGCACTCTGAAACACTGGAACTCCTTTAACCTCAGGACTTTGAAGAGAAAAGTGACTCATTTTCTTTTGCACAAGGGCATGGCTTTTTTACTAAACCTTTGCAAGCATTGTAAGATCAGCCCAGCTTTTTAAATAGGCATATCAGGTAGGCCTATAGAAAATAATCCCCCAGAATTAGAAAGGCAATTTCCAAGGGAACCATCTGAGAATTCCCCTTATTTAGGGTTGCCAATATGGGGGAAGTAAAGAGAAATCAGACTGTTGCTGTGTCTATGTAGAAAAAGGAAGACATAAGAAACTCCATTTTGATCTGTACTAAGGAAAATTCTTCTGCCTTGACATGCTGTTAATCTGTAACCCTAGCCCCAACCCTGTGCTCGCAGAAAACCTGTGCTGTATTGACTCAAGGTTTAATGGATTTAGGGCTGTGCAGGGTGTGCTTTGTTAAAAATGTGTTTGTAGGCAGTATGCTTGGTGAAAGTCATTGCCATTCTCCAGTCTCGAGTACCCAGGGACACAATGCACTGTGGAAGGCCGCAGGGACCTCTGCCCAAGAAAGCCTGGGTATTGTCCAAGGGTTCCCCCCACTGAGAGAGACAGCCTGAGATATGGCCTTGTGGGAAGGGACCTGACCTGACTGTCCCCAAGGCTGACACCCATAAAGGGTCTGTGCTGAGGAGGATTAGTGAAAGAGGAAGGCCTCTTTGCAGTTGAGATAAGAGGAAGGCATCTGTCTCCTGCTCATCCCTGGGAATGGAATGTCTCGGTGTAAAACCCGATCATACATTCTATTTACTGAGATAGGAGAAAGCCGCCTTATGGCTGGAGGTGAGACATGCTGGTGGTAATACTGCTGTTTACTGCACTGAGATGTTTGTGTAAAGTCAAACATAAATCTGGCCTATGTGCACATCCAGGCACAGCACCTTTCCTTAAACTTATTTATGACACAGAGTCCTTTGCTCACATGTTTTCCTGCTGACCCTCTCCCCACCATTACCCTATAGTCCTGCCACATCCCCCTCACTGAGATGATAGAGATAGTGATCAATAAATACTGAGGGAACTCAGAGACCAGAGCCGGCACAGGTCCTCTGTATGCTGAGCACTGGTCCCTTGGGCCCACTGTTCTTTCTCTATACTTTGTCTCTGTGTCTTATTTCTTTTCTCAGTCTCTCGTCCCACCTGATGAGAAATACCCACAGGTGTGGAGGGGCTGGCCCCCTTCAACCTCAAGCTCCCTTTTCATTACAGGACCTTAGGCAAACAAAGGAAGACTTATGCTAATTTTCTGATAACCCCAATAGGTATATAGAAGCTGTCCAGAATTTAACTCAGGTGTTTCACCTCACATGGAAGGATGTTATGCTGCTCCTAAACCAAACTCTAACCGCAGTTGAAAAGCAGGCAGCTCTGCAGGCAGCAGATAATTTTGGAGATGAGCAACATATCTCCTATAATACACCAAAAGGGAAGAAAAGAGATAGGGAAAGTGAAAAAAATAGCAGAAACACCATTCCCAGTAGGAAGGGAAGCAGTTCCTCTCGACAACCCCAACTGGGACCCCAGTAGCTCTGCAAATGAATAGAAATGGAAGCATTTTTAAAATATGCATATTAGAGGGTCTATGAAGAACTAAGGCCTGACCTCTTAATTCCTCTCAACTGTCTATGATAGACCAAAAGCCAGATGGGAATCCTGCAGCTTTTATGGAAAGGCTGAGAGAGGCACTAATAGAGCACACTTCCTTAGCCCCTAATTCAGTCAAGGGATGGCTCATTGTAAAGACAAGTTTATTACACAGGCAGCTCTTGATATTAGAAGGAAACTGTAGAAGCACGCTATAGGACCAGATAGCACCTTGGGGAACCTCCTGAGGGTGGCCACTTATAATAGGGACCAGGAGGAGGCCCCCCAGAAAGAGAGAAAGCTCAGGAGAAAGACAGAGGCTCTAGTAGCAGCTTTGCAAGCTTGCAAAGTCCAAGATTTCTGAGGTGCATCCGCTAGTTGCTATCAGTGTGGCAAGCCAGGGCATTTTAAAAAGGAGTGCCCAAACAGCAAGAGGAAGCCACCTCAACCCTATCCAGCCTGTGGTGGAGACCACTGGAAATCAAACTGTCCCCGGAGACGGAGGTCACTGGAGTCAGAACCAGTCTCACAGATGGTCCAGCAGGACTGATGGGTCCCGGGGCTCAAACCCCAGCTCCAGTGGCTCAAACTGCCATTACAGCACGGGAGCCACCAGGTGATTCTGGAAATTGAAGGAAGGAAAGTAGACCTCCTTCTAAACACTCGAGCCAGTCTCTCTCTCTTTTCTCCTCTTTAATCCAGGCCTCTCTTCTTCCCATAGCGTGAGTGTAAGGGGTGTCTCAGGAAAAACTCTATTCCAATATTTTTCTCAACCTCCTAATTGCAGTTAGGAGGACCTATTGTTTACACATGCTTCCAAGCCATTGCCACGGTGGCTCTACTAGTCAAAAAAGCCTCCAAATTAACCCTAGGAAATAATTTAACTGTTTACACCCCACATAATGTAGCAGGATTACTGTCCTCTAGGGGAGACTTTAGCTAACAAACAGCAGGTAAAGCAAGAAATACGTAAGGCAGGACAAGCAATAGTCACTCTAATGTCTCTCCCCAGACACAAGCACTCAATTAGCTGAACTAATAGTTCTTGCAAGTGCACTTAAATTAAGCAGGGGAAAGATAGCTAACATTTCCACTGACTCCAAGTATGCTTTCTTAGTTCTCCATGCTCATGCTGCTATTTAAAAGGAAAGACATTCTTTTACCACTAAAGCATCTCCTATAAAATATCACCAGGAAATTAACAGGTTATTATCCTCAGTTTTCCTTTCATGAAAAATAGCAGTAATGTATTATAGGGAACATCAAAGGGGAACAGATGAAGTAGCCAAAGGAAATAGGTTAGCTGAGCAGGGAGCTAAGCAGGCGGCAGGGAAGCCTCAAGGCATTAACACACTTCAAGCCCTTTTAATCTCCGAAGCCTCCATAAAAGAAATTAAACCTCAGTATTCCCCTGCAGAAATAAAATAAGCCACTTCTTAAGGGTATTCCAGCCCTGAGGATGACAAACTCCATTTACTGGCCTCCAGTCAATGGAAAGTCCTTAAAATCCTTCACCAAGCTTTTTCACATAGGAAAGGATAAAACTTATCATCAGTGTGCTCAGAGATTGTTTTCAGGCAGAAAACCTCTAAGTTGTTTAAAAATGTAACCTCTCTAGCTCACTTCCAACGGAAATTGACACAACTAGCCAAAGGCCAACCCCAGGAAATTGGACCACCTTTACTTAGCCAGAAAATTTGGTATTGGTGAAAACTCATCTCTCTCTCCTTCCCTAAGCCAGGCTGGGAAGGGCCCTACACAGTTCTTCTTTCAACCCCCACAGCAGTAAAAGTTACAAGTATCAACTTCTGAATATATCACACTCAAGTCAAAGCCTGAAAAGCTGAGGGAGCAACCTTTGACAGCCCAGAGGAACATCCTGAATATCAATGTGGAGATATAGAAGATCTTAAGCTGAAAATCATAAAAGGTAAGTAAATGAGTGAGGGCTACTCGCCTTAGCGCCATTCCTACCTCACCAGGTACTCTTTATCATTTCTACCTTTCCTCTCAAAATTCACTGCTCAGTATTAGAACTTTTTTTTAATGCATATTTGCAGAGAGATTTTAATTATACATGGGACTGCATTTGTTACTTTGTAAATCCCCAAAGGGAAACATTATATCTTGGCAAGTAAAGTTTTAAATGGAAATTATTTACTACGTCACTTTTGTGGGAATTGTTATCATCATGCTGTTATTTGCAATAGAACTGTATACTGTGGCACCCACAATGTGGAATTCTGGTTGTAAAATTCTAATTCCTGTAATATTTTGCCTAATTATCATCTTTATGACAGAATTAATAATTGCAGGAAGGATTTGGTCAAGTTTGTTTTGCTTATAGCAGGAGTAATAGTTACAGACAAGAAGTAAGCATGAAAATTTTACTATCACTAAGTTTGATAGGACTTTTTTATTGAAGATTGGTAAATGGTGCACTCTAAGCTATGGAAAGAAGGTTACAAATAAAGAGATTTTATATAAGAAAGGATCTTGTATAGTAAATTCTTGTCCTAAAAGGAAATGACTGGTTGTTTAAGACAAGTCAGAAAGTTGAGTACATTGTAAGAGGGTCTGTGAAAGTCATGAAAGAATTTAATAATTAAGAAATTTAATAATTAAAGGAAAGGAATTGCCAAGATTAACACCAAAGTTATTTTAGCCATCCAATAACGTTTTTCTCCCAATCATATCATAAGTTATAAAGAATGGCCTAAACCAAAAATTATGCCCTAATAGCAAGTCAAGGGGGAAACATGTTTTTCTCAAAGGAAATGATGCTTTTATATTAACGTTTCTGGTAATGTACAGCGACATCTAGTGGAGACAAACCAGTATTACAATCCATTGGTGTAACAGGTATCAAACTTTACTGCCATAGTTACAGTCTATAGGTGGTAATCTTAATACTCATATGGTAACCCTATATTTTAAACCTTCTTGTAAAATTTATCTCTTTTTGCCTAGAAGCAATCAAACTTCAAATGGTGCTGCAAACAAAGCCACACATGGACATGCCATTCTTCCAAGAAGCCTTAGATCAACCTCAGGAGGAGCCCCAACTGCAGCCCCCCAACACGACGCCCCTTTTCAGCAGGAAGTAGCCAGAAAGAATCGTCGTCCAACACCCCCTAACAGCAGTTATGGTTACGTCTCCTGAGGGAGGAAATAATACAGGAGTTATTAAGAAATTATTTTTAGGCAGCTAGAAAGGGTAAAAATTCTCAGTGGAATTTTCCTTTAATAAAAAGCAGCCCCAAACCATTTCTTCTCTAACAGAAAGCAGCCTGAAAACTCAGGCATAGATATGCAAACTAGAAGCTTTTATATGTAAATGCTGGCAGCTGTACCTGGAAGTCAGGTACATCCAATATGGCGGTTCCCACTCTCTTTTCCTTGTCACCACGTTTACAGGTGTCATGGCAGCCTCCAGGTAAAACCACATGTACAGGTATCCTGTCCACCACCAGTTAGAGACCGTATTTGAATAATAAAAGACTAGGGTGGGAGAGTCAGTCTTTTCGTGGGCTATGTAAATGACACAACTGGTCAAACCAATTCCCTGAGCGCTGTGTAAATCAATCACCGCCTCCTCAACCTCTGTACAAAACCGACTGCATTCCACCACAAACCGCAGACCCTCTTTTGGGCAACCCACTTTCTCAGCATGAGGAAGGATTTTTTCTCTCTCTTCTTTTCTATTAAACTTTCCACTCCCAAACCCACTCCTCATGTGTGTCTGTGTTGTTAATTTTCTCGGCCATGACAAAGAACCAGGGTGTATACCCCAGACAATGGAGCCGTTACAAAATCACAATGTCCAGTTCCCAGGATCCAGTCCTATGCTCCTCCCGATGGGTGTTCTCTCCCTGGGTGGTCTCATGTAGGCCAGGCCCCTCCCCCGCTGCAAACTCTTCTCTCACCTGCCCATCAGACCACCCATCTGGCCCCTCAAGCACCTCAAACCCGGCCATCTCCCTGCAGGTTTCTTCTCTGCGTGGCCTGCTGTGCCATCTCCACCTTCATCTCCACACCGCACCCCTGCACGATGTCCTGTGGCCTCGTTTCCCCTCACCCCACATGCAGTCAGCTGCCAGGCCTGATGAAGTCCCAGGGGTCTCTCTCCCTCCATCCTCCTCACTCCATGCTCAGCCCAATCTCCGTGCTCACCCTCCTGACAAGCTCCGGTTGGGCTCCTCCCATCAATCCCCAGCTCAAAGTCCCCTTCCCTCCTGGCACTAAGGTCCCTTAGGCCGGCCCGGCTGCCCCTACTCCCTGGGCCCGGCCCCCCCGGCTGCCCCAGGAGCCCTGGTCCACAGCCCTCACCTCGGCGCTGCCGGATGAGTGGCTCCATCAGCTCGTACTTGTGTCTGCACACCTTGTCCACCTCGGCTCGCTTCCGTTCCATAAAGTCCTTCTGGCTATTGAAGTACTCGCCTATGGGCCGCCCCAGCTCCATCACTGCTAGGAACTCCCCCACTGCGCTGTCAAAATGCACGTATTCCTCCCGGTTGTAGATGAGCCCGTCCACAACGCGCTGAGTCCCATTGAACGCATAGCATTCCTGCCGTTCCTGGTAGACGGAATTCTCTGTGAAGAGCAGGGAGAGATGGGGGTGGTGCCACCCCCAACAACACCCCCCTCCTCAATATTAGCTATTTCCTCAAATCTTCCCACTCAGGGCTGGATTTAAAAATACGATTTTTCCTACTACCGAGTTCTGTGGTTCTAGGCAGGTCACAGACTCTCTCCAGGCCTCAGTTTTCTCACCACGCAGCGAGAGGATTTACTGAAAAGAATGAGACTCACTGCTCAGGGTGGCTGAGTGATCATTAGGGAGGGGCGCACGCTGAAGGGAAAGCAGCCCCTTCTGCTGGCGGCTGGAGGAGGAGGGGGAGACATTTCACGTGGAGTCTCAGGGAGGAGCAGAATCTCATCAGGGGGAGGGTCCCTCAGGCAGAGAAACAGTAGGGATGGGAGGAGTTGGGGACCTGGAGGGCAGAGCTGCTCCCCCTACCCAACTCCCTGCCTGACATTTCCATCCTGATGTCAGTCCTGGCTCAAATGCCACCTCCTCCAGGAAGCCCTCCATTCCTTCTTTCCCTTTCTACAGCTAGGTTCTCTCTCTTCTCTGCCAGTTTCTTGAGAATACCTCAAGTTGCTCTTGCTGTTCTGCATGCTGGAAATCTCTGCATGCTGGAAATGCAGAAATGCATTTCCATGCATTCCTCCCTCCCTCCCTCCCTCCCTCCCTTCCTTCCTTCTTTCTTTCTTCTTTCAATGGAGTATACTTCCCTCCCTCCCTTCCTTCCTTCCTTTCTTTCTTCCTTTCTTTCTACAGAGTATCACTCTGTCGCCCAGGCTGGAGTCCAGTGGTGCAATCTCAGCTCACTGCAACCTCCGCCTCCCGGGTTCAAGCAGTTTTCCTGCCTCAGCCTCCTGAGTAGCTGGGATTACAGGCGTGCGCCACCACGCCCAGATAATTTTTGTATCTTTAGTAGAGACCAGGTTTCACCATGTTGGCCAGGGTGGTCTCGAACTCCTGACCTCGAGATCTGCCCTCCTCGGCCACCCAAAGTGCTGAGATTACAGGCATGAGCCACCGCACTTGGCCAGAAATGCATTTCTTAAAACTTCTTCAAGTTTGCCATAAGAAAGACAATATAGCCTGAAAGTTAATTTTCACTTTTCAAACATGGCTGTAGAAAGACTTGATCTCAAAACACCTGGAAAATATCTTAATCAACGAAAATCACCAGAACAACCAGAAAACTAAGTGACTGGACTCCTTTAGGTTTAGAGGCATTGATGGTGTCATTTTTACATAAAGAAATGTGGCAGCCTTTTCCACCTGCGGTTCTTCCTAGGGAGCACCATGGGCAGTGTCTGGCAGGTGCATGTGTATACAGAAGTAGCAATGACCCAGCACATGTCTGCTTGCTTCTGTCTGAGCCTCTTCAGACCTGATCTGTTCCTGGTCACAGTGGGGAAATTAAGGTGCTGTGATTTGCACACAGCAAATTAAGGTTTGTTTTGGACACCTGTTTCATGTTCTACAAATTAGCAACTCACGTTTATTAACCTCACCCCTCATAGAAGATGCACAGCTGGTGGCAGAGGACAGTAGAGAAGGGGTGGGGCTGGGCACAGCGGCACCATAGACTCGGCCTGTAGTTTCCAGTGTCATCTCTAAGGCAAGATCCCAGGACTTTAGATATCTTAACCTGCCTCTTCTCCTGGTGCCTTGGGCTCCAGCCCCCTAAACACCCAGGCCCATCGCCCCCAGCCCCTTTAGTCCGCCCCTCCCTATTCAAGTGCCCCACACTGAGTGTGTATCCTCTCATTTTAATTTGTTAGTCTTTGTTCCTCTTCCTCATTCACCAATAAGAGAACATGTTTTAGTGAAGAGTAAGAATTTCAAAACTTTCTTTTGCAACATTTAACTTTTTAAATGGAATTTTACCTGCAAAGCAGACATAAGTGATGAGTATATGGTGGAATTTGAAACTTCATTTTTTTTTTTTGTATATGGAAAACTTTATCCTGTTTGCGGAATCTTTGACAATTGAGTTACCCAGAGCACAATTTGAAAACCAATGATCTGAGTGAATTCATCTGTCACTCAGAATAGGATATATTAAAATATAATTGCAGAAAGATATAATGGAGGCCATATGGGTAAGAAAAGGAACATGTCACAGGTAGGGATTCCAGTTCTTGCACTACAACTGATTACTAAGTTATCTTGGACAAGAAACAACCTTCTAACTCTCCATTTCTTGAAAGGCAAAATAGTAATAATACTATTTACCTTGCAAAACTGCTGTGAGAACCAAATGAGCTCACATACGTAAAATACATAGTATTGTATCTGTCACTGCTCAATCTATGTTGGTTCCCTTCCTCTTTTCACTGTGTGACCTGTTTGAATAGGAGCAAAATTCTAAATAAATGCATATGAAAGAGGAACTGGATCAGCTTATGAGCTACTGGAAAACCTCAGGAAGACTTTCCATGGGCACCAGATCTTAATGGTTGAAAAGTGTTTGTTGGTTGTTTGCTGACTGGATCTTCCCCCCTCTCTTTTGTGCTAGTGATTTTATTTGAGGAGTTAGATTAACAGAAGAGTGAGTACCCAAAGACTCAAATGCACAATGAGCTTCTGCAAGTGCCCAGCTGGTGTGACAGGAGGACTCGGGAGTGTGGCCCTAATGCTTGGGGTAGTGGGTGGGGTGAGGTAAGAAACTCAGCTGTAAAAAGCCCATTTTAAAGCTTGTCAGAGACAAAAGGGTGTTGCCTCCAGGAGTCTGGTTTTTTCACCGGCCGTGTCATCTCCTGCTCCCTAGGTGTTGTCTCAGCCAAGCTTTTCTCCACCCTCCCCTGTCTCACTTTAAGCCACAGCCTGGCTCCTTGTGCCTTTCCTCTTGTGCTCTGAGGATGGAGATGTGTGTGGAGTTGGAAGAGCATGCAGGGAATTGTGGAATTGGCCCTGCCCACTCTACCCACTCCCCTTGGCTCCAGCTCTCCCTCCAGCAGGCTTTGATTGGACATTCATTCTACACGGGGAGCTCTGGTAACCCACCCTCGGTTCCTGTCACATGGCTCCACTGCCTCATCTCATTTCCCCTACCAACCTCAACCCAGTCTTTGCCCGTCCACCTGTTCACTGCCCACCATCATCACGCTCCCTCCTGTGCTTTCTGCTACCCCGCACCTTGAGGGTTTCCATGGCGTTTCCCAACACCACCCCTCATCCTACAAACAACTCTGCCTATGGACACTGTTGCTATGGACCTCCTGCTGGACACTGTTCAGTGTCACCAGCGCTGCTCCAGCCTCCTCTCTCCCCAACCTCACCCCTCTCCAGTTCCCAGGGCTGAGCCATTCTGCTGGTTAGTTCTCAGCACCCCTGTGACTACAAGTGCAGTTTGTCCACCCTTTCCCGGACAATGAACCTGAGGTAATAGGTGAGGGGCTTTGGGGTTTGAGGGGCTGTCCTCAGGAGATTCGAATACTGTTACCCTGGAAAATGAGGAGGTGACATGAGAACAGCACTTTCTAGGGGTGTCCTAGGTGGATGTGGAAGGGTCTCAGAGGGAGGGTCTATGCAGAAAGGTGGAAGTCAGTGGAAAACTAAGACACCTACTCTGCAGTCCTTCCTCTCAGGGTGTTGGTGTAAATTTGGACCAGAAAAGTAAGAACATCCTGAGAGAAAAACAATGGGTCATAGAAGCCATAATATTACACCAGCCACAAGGAGACAGCAGGAGACAGAGGTTTTTCCCTTGGTTACTGCTTTCTTGGCTGTCTGATAACCTACACTCAATCTCTTTCACGTACTCACACATCCTTATCTCATTCTTCTGACAGGTTTCAACCCATCCTAATACTCTAACCAAGTTCTGGGGAGGCTGGGAGAAATACCTTCAACAAGAGTGCCTTTAGGGGCTCGAACCTGTCCCCCTCCCTCCCATCTTGCCTTCATTGTCCAGGGAGCATTGGCTCCTGCTCCACCCTGGAGAATGAGAGGCATTCTCTGTGAGCACTGAATCCTCAGTGATACTTGTAGTCTGGACACACCAGCTAAGGGCTCTCTGCCTGAGTCCCCTCAAGGTTGGATGCAGATGTGAGCACACCCAGGAGTCTGCACTTGCCAACCTCTCTCTCTGAAACCTTGTCTGTCCAAGGTTATCCTGAACCTCTTGGCCCCATTTCCCCATAGACAAGCAACTTGACCCCTGAGCACCTCCCCTTATTTACTGTGTCCATGTTCCTGGAGAGAGAATAGACCTGGTGGATAGCAACCTATCCTATAGGAGGTGAGTTTGATTCTCCAGCTGTGATAGAAGGACACTAGGCCGTGGCAGGAGCCCCACATGCTGTCTCAGAGTCTGGTTCCATAAAGAGAAAGTCCCCTAGGAATTGTTCCCTGAGCCAGACCCTCCAGGAATAGCAGCTCTGCTCTTACCTGGAGTGGCCCTGCTCTGGACCACAGATATGAGCAGCACCATCAGTAATGCTGTCAGAGCCACTGTCCAGGGGCCCCCTGAAACCTGCAGGATCATCATGGAGTTGGAAAAGGTTGGCAGAATGAAGAGAGCTGCAGTCAGGAAAACAAGAACTCATTAAAGGGAGCTCCTGTCTGAAATATTAGAGACCATGAACCCAAGCAGTCTTCTGTGACCCTAGGATTGGACAGACTCTGAGAAAAGAACCAATGGGCACTGAGCTTTGTATGAGTCATTGCTCACTGGGCAGAAAGTTAGTATTAAAGATCTGACAATATAGAGCCAGTGATGCTGTTACGAGGACAGATGGAGAACACTGACACTCATTTTAACCAGTCAGAGTCATGAGTTTTGGGGAGATGATGTGTTTTCTTTGCTCTGAAGGTGATCTCAGATATTCTGCTGGCCCACCTACAGGGATTATCATTTCCCCAATTCTGCCACACCTCACACACCCACAGGACATGGCCTGGTGTGGAAGAAATGCTATCTCAATGTGTAAAAGGTCATTCAGTGGCATGATTTAGAGAGATTAGAGTATCCATCCCAGAACTGAAAATGAGGCCTGGAGTCTGTTTTGCCTTTGTTCAAGGCCGTGCTTCAGATTAGTGCACATTCATATTTTCTTCCTCCCACATGTCTGTGAGTCCTGAGATGTGCGGGGGATACTGGCTCCTTCCATAGGACTGTCATCAGGGTCAGCAGGGCTCAGTCTAGGGGCCTTACACCTGGGAGCATGGACACACCACCTACACTACCATGGAAGTATGCAGCTTGAAGGACACTGCCTGTCTTGGACTTCAGTTCTTTGTCTTCAGTATGGGGATGATATGACCTGCCTTTACAGCAGGGCTCTTAAGGTCAAATTAGATCAACGGATCTGTAATTGCTTTGGAAAAATGAGACTAAAAATTATACAGTGAATGAGGAAGAAATGAAAAAATGTCATAAAAGACCCTACATTTTCCAAAACATCTGATTCTGTGGTGTTTATACTGAATAGTTTCATAAACTTTCAAAGAATATTACTCCTTAATTTAAAGACCTATAAATGTGATCCTGTACGACCTCCTAATCTAATAAAGAAAATGTAAAAGTGGCATCATTTGTTTATATAAATGTTAAAATGTAAATAGAAGACTAGCATGTAAAATTCAAGAGAAGAAAATAATTATGCAGTAGAAGGGGCCAGTATAGGATTGCGGGGAAAAAGCTCACGTTCCCTGCCATAGTCACCAAGACAGCATGGTACTGGTATAAAAATAGGCACATAGACAAAGGGAACAGAATAGAGAACCCAGGGATAAACCCAAATACTTACAGCCAACTGATCTTCGACAAAGCGAACAAAAACATATGGTGGGGAAAGACACCCTTTTCAACAAATGGTGCTGGGATAATTGGCTATCCACATGTAGGAGAATGAAACCGGGTCCTCATCTCTCACCTTATACAAAAATCAACTCAAGATGGATTAAGGACTTAAACCTGAGACCTGAGACTATAAAAGCTCTAGAAGATCACATTGGAAAAACCCTTCTAGACATTGGCTTAGGCAGGGATTTCATGGCCAAGAACCCAAAAGCAAATTCAATAAAAACAAAGATAAATAGTTGAGACTTAATTAAACTAAAGAGCTTTTGCACGGCAAAAGGAACCATCAGCAGAATAAACAGACAACCCACAGAGTAGTCACAATCTATACATCTGACAAAGGACTAATATCCAGAATCTACAATGAACACAGGCAAATCAGTAAGAAAAAACAAACAACCCCATCAAAAAGTGGGCTAAGGACATGCATAGACAATTCTCAAAAGAAGATATACAAATGGCCAAGAAACATAAGAAAATGCTCAACATCACTAATGATCAGAGAAATGCAAATCAAAACCACAATGTGATACCACCTTACTCCTGCAAGAATGGCCATGATAAAAAAATAAAAAAACAGTAGATATTGGTGTGGATGTGGTGATCAGGGAACTCTTCTACCCTGCTGGTGGGAATGTAAACTAGTACAGCCACTGTGGAAAACAGTGAGGAGATTCCTTAAAGAACTAAAAGTGGAACTATAATTTGATCCAACAATCCCACTACTGGGCATCTACCCAGAGGAAAATAAGTCATTATATGAAAAAGATATTTGCACATACGTGTTTATAGCAGCACAATTCACAATCACAAATCATGGAACCAACCCAAATGCCCATCAATCAACGAGTGGGTAAAGAAACTGTGATATATATATGATGGAATACTACTCAGCCGTAAAAAGGAATGAGTTAATGGCATTTGCAGCGACCTGGATGAGATTGGAGACCATTATTCTAAGTGAACTAACTCAGGAATGGAAAACTAAACATATATTCTCACTGATATGTGGGAGCTAAGCTAAGAGGATGAAAAGGCATAAGAATGATACAATGGACTTTGGGGACCTGAGAGGAAAGGTGGGAGGGGGCAAGGGATACTGCTCAGGTGATAGGTGCACCAAAATCTCACAAATCATCACTAAAGAACTTACTCATGTAACCAAATACTACCTGTACCACTATAACCTACGGGGGAAAAAAGCAACATAACCATGAACCAACTAATAAAAAACAACCTTGCCTTCAGTCTGCATCCTACCCTAGAGACACTCTCTCTGTGTCCTCACACTTGGAGCTAAGCTTCTGACTTTTGTCTCCAGTACACCCCTGAGGATCCTCTCATCACGGCCATCAGAAACCTCTGTAGAAGGTCAAATCCAGTGGGTTCTTGTCAGTGCCTCTGACTTGAGTTACTGATAATATTTGCACCATAATCCACTTCTTTCTAATGAGCTACTCTGTCCTTATTTTTCTCCTATTTACTGAATCCTCCTTATCATCCTTTGAAATCTCCTCTTAATTATTATGTTCTCTCATCATACCCTGAGATCCCTGCATTTCTGATTTTTGGCACTCTTCCTGGAAAAGCTCATCTAACCTGCACCTATGCTTGATGACTCTCAGTTCTCTGGCTTAAACTCCTCTACTGAGACCACCCATCATACAAAAATGTTTACATATTATTTTTCCTTAGATAACTTTTAGATATTCTAAGTGCAATAGCCCCACACTGAACTCAGTCTCTTCTCTCAGTCAGGCTGTCTTCTCTCATTACCCTTTTTAATGAATGGAATCAAGATGTTTGCATTGGGTTGGGGAGATGTTGGTCAAAGGATACATCCATTTCATTTCATTTAGGATACATTTCAAAAGATACATTTCATTTAGATTGGAGGAATAATTTTAAGAGTTTTATTGTATAACATGGACTATAGTTGCTAACAATGTATTGTTGAAAATTGCTAAAAGGGTGGATTTTAAGTGTTCTCACCACAAAAAATAAGTATGTGAGGTGAGCCATAAGTTCTTTAGCTTGATGTAGCCGGTCCATGATGTACATACATTTCAAAACAACATATTATACATGATAAATATAAATAATTTTTGTCAATCAAAATAATTTAGAAAAGTGACACACACTTACACACACACACACAAAAGAGATGATTGCATTGGCCAGTCTAGGAATAAGAGTTATCTGGGAGTTTTCTAAGTCGGATGCCACCGACATCACTCACCAATAATCCCTTTAATGTCAATCAAATTAAGTCCTCTTCTTCCATCATTTTACTCCTATGCCCATTTCCTCACTCTTTGTTCAGGCACTATTAGTCTTGCCTCTTGAACCAACTTCTTTCACTCATGCTGCCCACTGTTGCCGTAGTGATCTTCCTAAATTGCAAATGCGCCATCACTCTCCTGCTTAAAATCCTTCAATGATTCCTTATGACTTCCAGGACAGAGTAGCTACTCCTGAGCTTTGCATGTAACATCTGTCATGATCCAGCCCCTGCCTGTCTATTTTTCCTTTTTTCTTGCTGCTGTTCCACATCCAAAGCTGGCTCCATTCATACTGAAGCAGCTGAAGTTCTTCAGATATGTCATTGCCACACTGGGCCCACACTTTTGAACCTGCTTCCTCCTGTGTGAGAAGTGGCTTCTGCCCTGTTTTCGGACTGCCTACATTGAAGCCATCTGTTCCCCAGGAAACCTTCCCTGATGCCTTGACAGCAGCATCTTGTGCCTGCCCCATATCTGCACTTATCCATCTGGGCCTGCTGTTGTCTTGTCACTTGTGTTCTCTTCTGTGAACTGTAAACATCAGGAGGACAAGACCTATGTCTTACTTTTATTTGAATATTTAGCATCTAACAATGTTCGACATATAGTAGGCTTTTGATACTATTTTTTTACTATGACATTGTAGTATATGTTAATATCCAGTAGGACATAGGATATATTCTCTCTGTTTTCAATTTTTCATTGTTTACACACATTTATAATTCTATCTATAAGGATTTACAATTATTTACATGAAATGAATGAAATAAATAGAGAATGTTAGATATTAAGAGACAGTGTGGAAAGCCAGGCTGGGACTAGGGATGCACTTACCTTAGGTGCAAAATTTAGGAGGATACCAAAAGAACTCAGTAATAAAAGTCAATCATATTTTAATGAAATATCTTAAGAAATCTAAATTAATGGAAAATATATAATGAACAAAATGTCAAAAGAGAACTATTCAAAGAAAATGGAGAAGCAGAGAGGCAGAAGAATTAGTAGAATATACTGGCACATAAGCCAAGGAGGTAAAGATTTCCAGGAAGGAGGAAGTAGAGTGGAGTCAGAAGTTCAACAGAAGTCATTTCAGAAATCTTACCTTGGTTTTGAAATCCTTTCAGAGAGCAGTTTTACATAATGTGAGCAATTATTTCTCCTTCATCCCCATCATTCCAGAATTGAGCTTCTTCTCTGGCTTCAGAAATGTGGCCCTTCCCCTTGTCAGGATATGTTGGCGACATGATGCATGCGGATGCCCTCAAAGTCAGCTGGGGTTTGGGGGTGAAATTAATTGACTTTAGGGAACTCCTTGAATGCTAAGTTCTGTTCACCTGGAGGACCAGAGAGGGCACAGAGATGACCACCTAGCTTCTGCCTGGGACCTAAACAGGGCAGAGAAATAGGAGGATCAGGTATAAAGGGAGCAGGGAAGATGGGTCTGGGCTTACAGTACTGAACCCAGGGATGACAGTAACTGTGTGTGTCTCGAGGCAGGTGACAAAATATGTGAAAGGAAGAGGACTTAGGAGAGATCTGAATTCCAGCTGTTTTACAAGCTATATCTCAGCTTTCTTTCTCAATTCATGTGCTCTCTACCCCAAAGGCTGATGGAATTGCTGACCCTTCAAGTTCTCTTCTCATCTGCACCCCTTCCCTCCTGCTGCACACTGTTCAGCGACATCACACACTTCTCCAGCCTCCTCTCTTCCTAGTCTTACCCCTTCCCAGTTCCCATAACTGAACTGTCCTGTTGAGGAGTTCTTAGCAGCCCTCTGTGACCACAAGTGCAAGTTGCACTCCCTTCTGAGACAAAGTCCCCCATTTATTCCCTCCTGAGGGCGTGTCCCTTCCCCTGACCCTCATGGACTCTCCCAGGTGCACCCCCTGTGGATTTGCTCCTGGGCCTGAGTTTCCCCTACTTCCCTGATGGTGTCTGGAGGGCAAGGGGTATCTGTCTATCTACTGAGTGTCATAAACTGCCCAACTCAGCACACCCACCCTCTACCTCTTCCTAAGTGTAGTGACACGGTGAGGGAGGTAATGGGGTGGGGTCTGGAATCAGACACCAGGAGGAAAGGGGTGGTGGCTCTCTTTGCCTCTCACTCTGTGTGTATTTCTCTCGGGTACCAGGAGGATTTCCTAAAGATTTCTTTCTCCTGACTGTTTTCTGGACCCGTCCTGGTCTCCAAGCTCCCCTCCTGATTCTCTGCAGTGCCCAGGTGTCCAACAGTTGAGCCTGGAGCCAGGCCAACTTGTCAGCTTCCTGTATGAGGATCAGACTGGACGACTTCAACCTGCTTAGCCCGTCTTCTGAGGCCTCACCCTAGTAGTTGGCAAGTAAGTCTATTTGCTCCTCTGGTCTGCCTGGCCCACACTTTTGTGAGAAAGTGCCCTAGAACCTGTACGCTCTAAACTGTGAAACCCTGTTCCTTCTTTTGGCCACAACACACCTACGCACTGCCCAAAGTTCAGTCACTTCTAGCCCAGAGTTTGGGCTTAGAGTGCATCCTTCTCTGCAAGTTGTGTTAGCCTGTACCTTGGGCAAGTTACTTAAATTTTTTGAGCCTCAGTTTCTACATCTTAGGATGGACAGTAAATAGAATTGGCACAAACAAGTGAGAAAGTGATGGCACAGTGTTTGTTGCACTGTAAGCACTTGATAAATGGCAGCTATTGTGATTACTGCTCTCATCGTCATTGGTTTCAACTTTCATCAACAGATCTCCAACCCTGTTGACGCCCCTGCTTCAGTCAGTCACTTGAACCTCTCACTCCATGACCAGGTGGCACCTTGTGGCTATGGCCATGAAGGGCCAGTCTGTCACCCTCATTGTTGACTGCAAGATGTGAGTCACCCGGCCTCTCCCCTGAAGAACTAGTCCAGTGTTGGACACCTGTGGGGTGATAATTGTTGGTGCCTGTATCCCAGATGAAGAAAGTCTTTGAGGTTACCACAAAAATCAGAGAAAGGAGTGACTTCTGGTCCCTTATTTTGTGCCCACTCCTCTTCTGGCCCCAGTATGCAATGTTCCTATTTCCTAAGCCTTCATTTTTTTTCTTGTGAATTTTGATTTGCATTTCCTATCTTCAGGACTGCTGATCTCTGCAGAATAACTAGATGTCCACTTATGTGGCAGGACTGTCCACAGCCACTTATTCTATCCTTCAGTCTTCATCTCTCCATCTATCCATCCCTTGAACCTATCTCTCTCCTCATCCACCCCATCCATCCACTCATTCACCAGTCCACCTACGCACACATCCACCACCCACTCCCGCAACCATTTACCCACCTATGCATCACAAACTTACCCATCTACTCATGCATGAAGGCTTATATCCACTCACCTGTCCATCCTCCCCCTGCTTAATGACTCTCCCCTTCTTTACACACATCTATTCGACTATGCTTTTGTTCATCTGTCCTCTTCAACTTATCCATCCATCTATTCACTCACCCACCCACTCACACACCCCATCTACCCATGCATACAAGGATGCATGCATCTGTTCAGCCACCCATCTATCCATTATCCTTCCTGGAACTCAACCACTCTCTCCTTCAATACACTCATGCACCCATCTCCTCACCCACTCACTTCACATCCAACCGTTCACTCAACCATGTACTCAATTCCACCCATCTATCTATTCACTCATCTGATTCCATCTACTCTGTACCTCCCGCTCATCTACCCACTAAGCCTTGCATGCATAATTCCCTCTGCAGGAGTCCCATTGTACCTGTTTTGTGCCTTTCTTTTCACTCTGGGTCATGGTAGCCATATTGTTGAAGGTTCACTTCCCAGATCCTCTTTTCTTGGCTGCTTCCTGTCTGTACAGCCACTTCCTGTTTGTCCAGTTTGTTTTGTGGCCATCTTGGCCATGTTTAATTTTCCTTGGCCCTGGCATCACTCTTGCATCCAAGTGTTTGTCATTTTATTTTGTGTCCCTTAGTTGTTCTCATATCTTCCAGTATTCTCTGTCAGTTGGACTGCTTCCTGTCTACTCTGCTACATCTTCTGCCTGCCTTGCAGTTATGGCTGCCTTTTCTACCCTGCTGCTGCATCCCACACCTCCTGCTCTTGGCACCCGTGAGCTTCTGCTGCCTTTCCTTTATGCTGCTGTCTGGGTCTTTGGGGTTGATGTGGGATCTGGGAGAATTTTGAAACGGATCATTGCTGTCAGGATGAAGGTGGAGAGGGGCATTCTGAAGATCTTTGTTTTGGGGAGTTGGGGTGGTGGTGAATGTTTCACCTTCTCCCCACCCTTATCTTGGCTATGGCCTGGATTTGGGAACAGGCATCTGAATGGAGGTGTGCAAGGGAGGGAACTGGTTGGCTTGGAGTGTACATGAGGGCCAGAAGAAGGGCAAAGCATCCTGCTGGGAGAGGAACTGTGGGGTGCATTGTAGGGGGCTGCTCTGGGGCTTGGATAACTGAGCCCAAGAACTGTATGTTTTGCAAAAGGCAGTTATGAGGCCTGAGTTTGGAATATCTCTGGGAAATGCTCTCCAAATTTACTTGGAGTATGGATACTTAACCTGTGCAGGGTTTTTACATTTTTGAACTCCTTCAAATTCTAAATAAAATTTTGTGCATAAGGGCATATACCTTTTCTTTTTTGGAGAAAGACTGAAAGACTCAAAGTCCTCTTTCTGAAAGAGGCTCTTCAGGATTTGGAGAGGTTGTGTTTGCTGAGGTGGGACTGAGAACTGGGGTGCAGGGAACCCTGAGATCTCCTTGGCAGGCATGAGAGTTTTGTGAACAGAAGTATTTAGAGGAAGCCTGTGGGGCTTGTGGGTAGGGCTGGTCTGGTCTCCAGAGGACCCAAAATCGAGGTTGGAGTTGAGATGGGGGCAGGCCTGGTGTCCTGGCTGCTCATGGGCCCCACTGGGGTTACATGTGTGTCTCCCTTAGGCTGCCCATGGGCCCCGGGGGCTGAAGGGAGAGAAGAGAGAGCCTGCAGTGCTGGAACCTGTAAGTCATGCTGGTCACAGGGCTGAGGTGGTGGAAAGAGGAGAAGCAAGTGGGGTTTAGTGTGCTGGCCCTGTCACCTGTGAGTTTTAACCTTTGACTCCACAGGGTATGCTCGTGGAGGGGCCCCCTGGTTTAGAAGGCCCTGTGGTGAGTCTAGCAGTGACCTGGTGGCCATTGTTTTCTTAGAGATCCCTCCTATGTGTTCATCTGTGCCTTCCCCACATATGCTCAGGCCTCCTCCTCAGAACTCCGGAGGGTCCTTCCAATAAAAGTTTTTTAAAAAATCATTTCGAAAAATTAATTCAATAGTTTTTGGGGAGCAGGTGGTGTTTGGTTATATGGATAAGTTCTTTAGTGGTGATTTCTGAGGTTTTGGTGCACCCATCACCTGAGGAATGTACACTGTATCCAGTGTGTAGTCTTTTATCCCTTACCCAGCTCCTACTCATACCTGGAAGTCCTCAAAGTCCATTATATAATTCTTATGCCTTTGTGTCTTCATAGCTTAGCTCCCACTTATAAGTGAGAACATACAATATTTGGTTTTCCATTCTTGAGTTACTTCCCTTAAAATAATGGTTTCTAATTCCCCCTAGGTTGCTGCAAATGTTATTTCATTCTTTCTTATGGCTGAGTAGTATTCTAAGGTATATAGATCACATATATATCATATGTGATCTATATATAGATCATATATATATATGTGATCTATATATAGATCATATATATATATGTGATCTATATATATATAGATCACATATATATATATCACATATATATATATCACATTTTCTTCATTCACCCATTAACTGATGGGCATTTGGGGTGGTTCCATATTTTTGCAATTGTGAATCATGGTGCTGTAAACATGTGTGTGCAAGTGTCTTTTTCATACAATGGCTTTTTTCCTCCAGTAGTGGGATTGCTGGATCAAATGGTAGATCTATTTCTAGTTCTTTAAGGCATCGCTGTACTGTTTTCCATAGGTTGTACTAGTTTAATTTCCCACCAGTAGCATAGAAGTGTTCTCTTTTCATCACACCTACCCCAACGTCTATTTTTTTTTTTATTTTTAAATTATGACCATTGTTACAGGAGTAAGTTGGTATCACATAGTGGTTTTGATTTGCATTTCCCTGATAATTAGTGATGTAGAGCATTTTTTCATATGTTTGTCAACCATTTGTATATTTTCTTTTGAGAATTGTCTGTTCCTCTGCTTAGCCCACTTTTTGATGGGAGTATTTGTTTATTTCTTGCTGATTTGTTTGAGTTTTTTGTAGATTCTGGATATTAGTCCTTTTTTGTATGTATAGCTTGCGAATATTTTCTCCCACTCTGTGGGCTGTTTACTCTGATGATTATTTCTTTTCCTTTGAAGAAACTTTTTAGTTTAATTAGGTCCCATCTATTTATCTTGTTTCTTTTGCATTTGCTTTTGGGTTCTTGGTCATGAACTCTTTGCCTATGCCAATGTCTAGAAGAGTTTTTCCAATGTTCTAGAATTTTTATGGTTTCAGGTCTTAGATTTAAGTCTTTGATCTACCTTGAGTTGATTTTTGTATAAGGTGAGAGATGAGGATCCAGTTTAATTCTTCTGCATGTGGACTGCCAATTTCCCCAGTACCATCTGTTGAATACGCTGTCCTTTCCCCACTTTATGTTTTTGTTTGATCAGTTGGCTGTAAGTATTTGGTTTTATTTCTGGGACTTCTATTCTGTTCAATTTGTCTATGTGCCTGTTTTTATACCATTCCCATGCTGTTTTGGTGACTATAGCCTTGCAGTATATTTTGAAGTCAGGTAATGTGATGCTCCAGATTTATTCGTTTTGCTTAATCTTACTTTGGCTATGTGGGCTCTTTTGTAGTTCCATATGAATTTTAGGATTGTTTTTTTCTAGCTCTGTAAAGAATGATGATGGCATTTTGATGGGGATTGCATTGAATTTGTAGATTGCTTTTGGCAGTATGGTCATTTTCACAATGTTGATTCTACCCTTCCATGAGCATGGGACGTGGTTCTACTTGTTAGTGTCATCTATAATTTCTTTCGGCAGTGTTTTTAATTTTCCTCGTACAGGTGTTTAACCTCTATTGCGGGAAGTCAGGGACCCTGAATGGAGGGACCGGCTGAAGCCACAGTGGAAGAACATAAATTGTGAAGATTTCATGGACATTTATCACTTCCCCAATCAATACTCTTATAACTTCCTATGCCTGTCTTTACTTTAATCTCTTAATCCTGTCATCTTTGTAAGCTGAAGATGTATGTCACCTCAGGACCCTGTGATGATTGCGTTAACTGCATAAATTGTTTGTAAAGCATGTGTGTTTGAACAATATGAAAACTGGGCACCTTGAAAAGAACAGGATAACAGCAATTTTCAGGGAACAAGGGAGATAACCATAAGGTCTGACTGCCTGCAGGGCCAGGCAGAACAGAGTCATATTTCTCTTCTTGCAAAAGCAAATAGGAGAAATATCGCTGAATTCTTTTGTCAGCAAGGAATAGCCCTGGGAAAAGAATGCATTCCCGGGGGAGGTCTCTAAAATGGCCACTCTGGGAGTGTCTGAATTACATGGTTGAAGATAAGGGATGAAATATGCCCTGGTCTCCTGCAGTGCCCTCAGGCTTGCTAGGATTAGGAAATTCCAGCCTGGCAAATTCTAGTCATACTGGTTCTCTGCTCTCGAACCCTGTTTCCTGTTAAGATGTTTATCAATGACAATGTGTGCCCAGCGGGATGTGGAACCTCATCAGTGATTCTAGTTTTGCCCTCTGCCTTGTGATCTTTTACTGCCCTCTGAAGCATGTGATCCCTGTGACCCATTCCCTATTCATAGACCCCCACCCCTTTTGAAATCCGTAATAAAAACTTGCTGGTTTTGCGGCTCAGGTGGGCATCATGGAACCTGCTGACATGTGATATCACCCCCGGAGACCCAGCTGTAAATTTCTCTCTTTTGTACTCTTTCTCTTTATTTCTCAGACTGGCCCACACTTAGGGAAAATAGAAAAGAACATACTTTGAAATATTGGGGGCTGGTTCCCCCAGTAAACCTCCTTGGTTAGGTATATTCCTAAGTATTTTATTTTTTTGCAGCTACTATAAAAGGGGTTGAGTTCTTGATTTAATTCTCAGCTTGGTCACTGTTAGTATATGGCAGTGCTACAGATTTGTGTACATTGATTTTGTATCCTGAAACTTTACTGAATTCATTTATCAGATCTAGGAGCTTTTTGGATAAGTATTTATGGTTTTCTAGGTATACAGTCATATCATTGGTGAACAGTGACAGTTTGACTTCCTATTTACTGATTTGTCTGATTGCTCTGGCTAGGATTTCCAGTACTATGTTGAATAGAAGTGGTGAGAGTGGGCATCCTTATCTTGTTCCAGTTCTCAGGGGGTATGCTTTGAACTTTTCCCCGTTCAGTATAAGGTCGGCTGTGGGTTTGTCATAGATGGTTTTTATTACCTTAAGTTATGATCTTTGTATGTCAAGTTTGCTGAGGGTTTTAATAAAAAAGCGATGATGGATTTTGTCAAATGCTTTTTCTGCATCTATTGAGATCATATGATTTTTGTTTTCAAATCTGTTTATGTGATCTATCACATTTATTGACTTGTGTGTATTAAATCATCCTTGCATCCCTGGCATGAAACCCAATTTATCACCATGTATGATCTTTTTGATATGCTGTTGGATTATGTTAGCTTGTATTTTGTTGAGGATTTTTGCATCTATTTTCATCAGAGATATTGGTCTGTAGTTTTCTTTTTTATTATGTCCTTTCCTGGTTTTGGTATTAGGGCGATCCTGGCTTCATAGAATAATTTAGGGAGGATTCTCTCCTTCTCTGTTTTGGAATAGTTTCAGTAGGATTGGTACCAATTCTCTTCTTTGAATGTCTGATTGAATTCAGCTGTGAGTCCATGTGAATCTGTGATTTTTTATCGTTGGCAGTTTTTTAAAAATTACCATTTCAATCTTTCTGCTTTTTATTGGTCTGTTCACAGTTTCTATTTCTTCCTGATTTATTCTAGGAGGGTTGTATATTTCCAGGAATCTGTCTTCTCTAGGTTTTCTAGTTTGTGCCTGTGAATGTGTTCATATTAGCCTTGAATGATATTTTATATTTCTGTAATATCAGTGGCATTTTCTTCCATTTTGTTTCTAATTGAGGTTATTTGGATCCTCTCTTTTCTTGGTTAATCTCACTAATGGTCTATCAATTTTATGTATCGTTTCAAAGAATCAGCTTCATGTTTCATTTATCTTTTGTATTTTTTTGTTTCAATTTCATTTACTTCTGCTCTCTTTGTTATTTCTTTTCTTCTGCTGGGTTTGGGTTTGGTTTGTTCTTGTTTCTCTAGTTCCTTGAGGTGTGACTTTACATTTTGTATTTGTGCTCTTTCAGACTTTTTGATATAGGCATTTAATGCTATGAACTTTCCTCTTAGGACTGTTTTTACTGTGTCCGAGTGGTTTTCACAAGTTGTGTCACTATTATCATTCAGTTCAGAGAATTTTGCATCTTGATTTCACTGTTGACCCAAAGATCATTCAGGAGCAAATTATTTAATTTCCATGTATTTGTATAGTTTTGAAGGTTTCTTTTGGAGTTAATTTCCAATTTTATTCCACTGTGGTCTGAGAGGGGACTTGATATAATTTTGATTACCTTAAATTTGTTGAGGCTTGTTTTGTGGCCTATTATGTGGTCTATCTTGGAGGATGTTTCATGTGCTGATGAGAAGAATGTATATTCTACAGTTGTTGAGTAGAATGTTCTGTAAATATCTGTTAAGTTTATTTCTTCTAGTGTAACTTAAGTCCATTGTTTCATTGTTGACTTTCTGTCTTGATGACTTTCTAGTACTGTCAGTGGAGTATTGAAGTCCCCACTATTATTGTGTTGCTGTCTATCTCATTTCTCATGTCTAGTAATAATTGTTTTATAAATTTGGAAGCTCCCATGTTAGGTGCATATATGTTTAGGATTGTGATATTTTCCTGTTGGAGTTATCCTTTTATCATTGTATAATGTCCCTCTTTGTCTTTTTTAACTGTTGTTGCTTTAAAATCTGTTTTGACTGATATAAGAATAGCTACTCTTGCTTGCTTTTGTTTTCCATTTGTATGGAATATCTTTTTCCACTCCTTTACCTTAAGTTTTTGTGAGTCCTTACACATTAGATGACTCTTGAAGACTGAAGATACTTGGTTGCTGAATTTTTATCCTTCCTGCCATTCTGTATCTTTTAAGTGGAGAGTGTTAATATTGAGATGTGAAGTACTGTTCTATTTCTCATGCTAGTTGTTGCCTGAATTCCTTATTTTTTTCCTTTGCATTACTGTTTTATAGGCCCTGTGAGATTTATGCTTTAAGGAGGTTCTATTTTGGTGTATTTTGGAGTTTTGTTTGAAGACTTAGAACTCCTTTTAGCATTTTGTGTAGTGCTGGATTGGTAGCGGTGAAGTCTCTCAGCATTTGTTTGTCTGAAAAAGACTTTATCTCTCCTTCATTTATGACGCTTAGTTTTGCTGGATACAAAATTCTTGCCTGGAAATTATTTTGTTTGAGGAGGCTAAAGATAAGACCCCAGTCTTTTCTGGCTTATAGGCTGCTGTTAATCTGATAGGTTTTCCTTTATAGGTTACCTGATGCTTTTGCCTCACAGCTCTTAAGATTCTTTCCTTTGTCCTGACTTTAGATAACCTGATGACTATGTGCCTGGGCGATAATCTTTCTGTGATAAATTTCCCAGGTGGTCTTTGAGCTTCTTGTATTTGGTTGTGTAGATCTCTAGCGAGGCCAGGGAAGTTTTCCTTGATTATTCCCTCAAATATGTTTTCCAAACTTTTAGATTTTTGTTCTTCCTCAAGAATGCCAATCATTCTTAGGTCATTTAACATAATCCCAAATTTCTTGGAGGCTTTGTTTATTTATTAAAGTTCTTTTTTCTTTGTCTTTGTCTGACTGGGTTAATTCGAAAGGCTTGTTGTTTGAGCTATGAAGTTCTTTCTTCTACTTGTTGGATCCTATTGTTGAAACTTTCCAGTGCATTTTGTATTTCTCTAAGTGTGTCTTTCATTTCCAGAAGTTGGATTGTTTCTTCTTTATGATATCTACGTCCCTGGGGCATTTTTAATCCATATCCTGTGTTTTTAAAAAATTTATTTAAGTTGTTTTTCACCTTTCTCTGGTATCTTTTTGAGTAGCTTAAAATCAACCTTCTGAATTCTCTATCTAGCAATTCAGAGATTTCTTCTTAGTTTGGATCTATTGCTGGGGTCCAGTGTGGAGGTGGTAGGGGAGTGAAGTAGACTCTGTGAGAATCCTTGGTTGTAGATAGACTTAGTGTGGTGGCTTTCTCAAATGCTGGTTATGCTAGCAGTGCAGTTGTCATGTGAACAGACCGAAGACCACTGGTTAGTCAAGATTTTTCAGCCAGTGGAATTAGCTGTTTTCTCCTTTCTTAGAGCAGTTATTCTGTCGTGAATTGTTGTAATGTCCTGAGTTGGTTGGCCTCCAGCCAGGATGTGGTGCTTTCAAGAGGGCACCAGCTACAATAGTAGAAGGTGGATATAAGCTTGCCCTAAGTTGGCCAAGATAAATATTCAGTTTCTCAGGCAATGAGTGGTGTCATAAAGCTCCCAAGAGTTTACGTCTTTTGTGATTGGCTACCAGGTGGGTAGAGAAATGCCCTCAGGTGTGGACAGGGTTAGGCAGGTCTGAGCTCAGACTCTCCTCGGGCGGGGGGCTTGCGGCAGCCACTGTGAGGGATGGGGCGGAGGGTTTTTCTCCAGCCAATGGAATTATGTTCCAGAGGGCATTATGGCTGCCTCTGTCACCAGAGAAGTAGGGGAAACCTGGTAGCAATAGGCTTCACCCAGCTCCCATGCAGTTGGCGAGGCAGGTTTTGCTCCTGCTGTGCCACACTAACAGCATTGAATTTATCTCCCTGCAGCCTTCAGGATGGACTCAGACCTCACTCCAGGCTATAAGTTTCCTGCTGAGAAAGCAAGCACAGCTTTCAGGCCATGTGCCTCCCTGTCTGCCCACAATGTTGGCAGTAACTTCTGCTCTTTCTCCAGCAGTTCCGTTCGCCCCCAGATTCTGCTCCAGAGGATTTGTGCCCAGTCAGAATTATAACAAATTTCAGTTGGACGCTCCTTTCACACTGTGACCCCTTCCAAATTTTGCCGTCTGCCTTCCCCCAGGGCCCTTGTGAGATATAGTCAGGGGTGGCTTCCCTGGGCTTGAGCTAAAGACTGGGCGTGCCTACAAGGCTCTTCTCACTGCTGCATCTACCATATATATATATATATTTTTTCTTTTTGTTGCGACGGAGTCTCACTCTGTCACCCAGGCTGGAGTGCAGTGGCGCGATCTCGGTTCACTGCAGGCTCCGCCTTCCGGGTTTATGCCATTCTCCTGCCTCAGCCTTCCTAGTAGCTGGCACTACAGGCGCCCGCCACCACGCCTGGCTAATTGTTTTGTATTTTTAGTAGAGACGGGGTTTCATCGTGTTAGCCAGGATGGTCTCAATCTCCTGACCTTGTAATCCGCCCGCCTCGGCCTCCCAAAGTGCCGGGATTACAGGTGTGAGCGGCAGCGCCCGGCGTACTTTTGTATTTCATGCTAAATCTGTTTCAGGTCTAGGTAAAGTTAAATCCTTTTCCTGTAATCTGGATTTTCGAGTTCCCCAGTGGGGACATGGGTCCGGAGGCAGGTTTTTCCCCTCTCACGCTTTGGGAACGCACAGTTTTTCACTTGTCTGGTGGAGTTTGCAGTGGCCCCTCCCTTCTTTAAAAGGATCTGTGAATTCTTTCGATTTTCTGGGTATTCTCCTGCAGTGGTTCCTTTCTTGAGGGATCTGTGAAGTGAGTTCCTCAAGATATTTCTTGTCAGGTGAACAGTCTGTGGTCTCTGCAGGGCCTGTACCACCCCTGGGCACTGTATGCCCCACAGAGTGGGCCTCTCCTGTGCAGGGCCTGGGAAGAGGTTGATTATAATCTGGTGTCTGAGGCCTGGCAGCACCACACTCTCTTCAGTGAGTCAGGCTCAAGTCTGAGCACATCTGCAGAGCTTATGTTTGCTGTGTTGCTCATGGAAGGCAGGGAATCCAAAATTGTTTTCTTAGAGATGGACTCTCACTATGTTTCCTAGGCTGCTTTCAAACTCCTGGCCTCAAGTGATCCTCCTGTCTCGGCCTCTCAAATCACTGAGATTACAGGTATGGGCCACTGTGCCCAGCCTATTATCGATTTTCTCCCATTTCATTCAGTCCTCAACCCAATGTACTCTCTCTTTTTCTTTCCCTCATCTCTGATGCTCCTCTCAGGGTGGCAACTAATGACTTTTATACAACTCAAGCCAGTGGTCACTGTTCTGTTTCTGTCTTATGTGTGTCATTAGTGTGTTTGAGATGCCCCCTCTCCTCTTTCCTGGAAGTTTTCTCCTGTCTCTTGTCTTTTATGAACCCACTTCCTCTCTGTTTTCCTACCAATTTCTAGTCCTCTGCTTTTCAGCCTCTTTCTTCATGTCTGTGTTTGTCTGGATGCAGGAGCACACACTCAGATCCCTGCTATCCTGACTTTGTGTACTTTTCTTGAGTGACCTGACCCAAAATTAGAACTTCACCCACCATGAGCCTCCTTCCAGTTTATGTCACTAACCTAATGTAGCATGACACTCATCCATTTATTTCACTGCCTTCAAATCAACTGTATGTTTTCCCCTAGAAGTTTAAATTCAGTATGTCTCAAACAGAAAATTTTACCTTCTCTCAATCACTTAATTATCACCTTTGCAGGCACGGATGCCACAATTCTCCACGTTGCGTGGTTATTCTCGACTTCTTCATATCCCTACTTCTGGCATGTGATTTAGTGATTCCTGTGGCCTCTCATGTCATTACTGCCATCAAATCCATCTGCTGTCCTCCTCACCCCATGTTCCTGCCCTGGCCTACGCCTTCATTACTTCCCACCAGAGGGCTTAAAAGTGCTACTGGTCTTGCCTTGAGTCCCGCCTCCTCCAGCCCATCCTTCCTACAGGTGCCCCATCCAAACACAAATCTGACCGTGTTACTCTCCTGCTTAAGATACTTCACAACTTCCTATGTCCTGTGGGATAAAATGCAAACACTTGCCATCAGCACACAAGGCAGGTTACAGTGCTGCCTGGCCCACATCTCCCCTGGCTTCAGTCACACTGAAGAACTGCAGTTCTCCTTGCAACTTCATGCCTCTCTGCTCCTGAGCCTGCTTCTCCTGCTGGAAATGCCATTTCCCCTTTCTCTGTTTTGCTATCTGCAGGTGAACACTGTCCCTAGGAACCTTTCCTAAATCGTATTTTAATTTTGCTCCTGAGTAGCTCTTGTGTATACCTTGTGATACTCAGTGGTGATCAAACCACACATGTAGCAATCATCTTTTCTTTGTCTGTTTTATTCTTGAATTTCAAGTAGATTAAGGACAAAGTTCCCATCTTTAGAGTTTCATCCTTATTACCTAGAGAGTGAAAGTTCACAAAAAGCATTTATTAACTGAATGAAAATTAACATTTGAAGTGTGGAATTTGCTTCAAAATGTGCCAACCTTTAGTTTTCAGATTTTGTAAATATAATAAATACAAAGTAACCTAAGCTGAACCAATTACATCTGTGTAGCCCAGTCTATACACCATGTATTTTTCTTTTTCCTTTGGGATTCATTTCTGTAGGTGAGTAATCCTCTAGACCCTAAACTCAGTGGGGGACCCTCACCATCCGTGTGCGGCACTGAACCTGCTGTCACACTATGCATCTAAGTAGAGGACTGGTTCTCCCCATGCTGGGCTGGGAGGGGAAATCCTCACTTAGGGACCACCAACCATGCAGTGTCATTTGGCTTCACTTCCTCTTCCAGGCCGAACCCTAAACTCTCTGTAATTCACTGTAATAATAATTCACTTTTTGTTATCAACCAGTTGCTGCTTCTTATGTATCAGGTAAAGCTAAGATACTATCCCATAGGTCTTTCAAATGCCAACAACTTGTATTTCCAGGTGAAACTACACTTGAAAACTACACTCCACAAGACAATTTTGTGAATGTTATGTGAATGATAATACTTTTAAATTTACTCTGCCTAAAATGTAAGTGTTGTGGATAAAATTATAGAAGGTATCATTTTTCTTCTAAAAGTAAGAATGTAACTTGAAGTCTATAAATGTCACTAAGACTCTGGAGGTATTTTCATGTCCTTCACGATTTTGTTCCACTCTGAAATATTTATTCCATCCTTCCACTTCCCTGCCTTGCTTTATGGCTATATCAGTAATTTTTAATGTATTGTCCTGTAGGGTTTCTGAGATCCTACAGGAATGAGGTAGGAGGACTACTCAATATTGTTTCTACCAGGAGTTGTGTGACTTGGACAAGTTACTTTACCTCTGGGGTCAGTTCCCTACTATGGAAAATAAGTTCTTCTACATGGGGGTGTGAAGATTCAATGAGTAAGTTTAGCACATAGTAAGTGCCCAATAAATATTATCTTACTGTATTCAGCATTACCATTATCATAGACGGATGTTAAGTCTTCAGGGACAAGGGAAACAACCTATATCGTCCATGGGTCATTTCTGTCTTTGTTTCTTCTCACTCCTTTTCTTTTCTTTCATTTGCATTTCTCATTTTCTGTGTTATTCCTTCATGTTCCCAATAACCTTCCTGTTACCTGTTTGCTTCCTGCATTCTGTGTAGCATCCTACGTATTCACCCATTCTCCATCTTCTCCTTCATGCAGCAGACCATGTGTCAACATATGCGGAGTTTGTGCAGACGCACAGAACCTCTGGGGAGTATATGTTTGAATTTGATGAGGAGGAGCAGTTCTACGTGAACCTGGATGAGAAGGAGATGGTCTGGCCTCTACCAGAGTTTATTCACACCTTTGACTTTGGTGCTCAGAGGGGTATTGCTGGCATCGTCATGGCAAGGAAGCACTTGAACACCCGGATCAATGGTCCAAACAGACTTGGGCCACAAATGGCACTGCCTATAGCTGCCTGTTCCTCTCAGAGGGGTATTGCTGGCATCGTCATGGCAAGGAAGCACTTGAACACCCGGATCAATGGTCCAAACAGACTTGGGCCACAAATGGCACTGCCTATAGCTGCCTGTTCCTCTAGAGTCCAGCTGGAGGGATGGGAGGGCCTCTCTGCCACACATAGAACTAGAGGCCATGATGCCCACTCATGAATGAGCCCCTTCCCTGAGAGCGAGAAATCTTGGGTCCACACAGCTGGGTTCTTAGGACAGCAGAGGAGGAGGCATTTTCTTCTTACTCAAGAGAAAGGCTGGGCTGAGGGGGCCAGGTCAGGAGCACGAGAAGCTGTGACCCTGTCCAGGAGCCCTAGGGGAGCAGGAGGATGGGCCTGGGAGAGGTGGCCCCTAATCTGGTGAATATAGGACTTGGGGTGGTGGAACCTTTAAGAATCAGCCAATGGCAGTAGGCTCCTTGGGTTCTATCCCCTTTTGGAGCCCCCACCGAGGTAAGCGTCTTTCCCAAGGAGCCTGTGGATCTGGGCCAGCCCAACACCCTCGTCTGCCATGTTGACAAGTTCTTCCCACCAGTGCTGAACATCACGTGGCTGCGCAATGGGGAGCCAGTCATTGAGGGTATTGCAGAGACCATCTTCCTGCCCAGCAAGAAACTCAGATTACACAGGTTCCACTATCTGACCCTCGTTCCCATGGCCGAGGACACCTGTGACCTCCAGGGGGAGCACTGGGGCCTGCACCAGCCTCTCCTCAGGCACTGGGGTATGGAGCGCCCTCCCTCTGCCCTCACGGCCTTGGCACCACCTTTATTTCCTGGGCCCATCGCCCCTCAGCACCTGCCTTCCTCAATCCCATGTTTTATGGTCACTTTATCCAAATTTCACCATCTCATGGTTTCGAATACCCAACACCTCCCACATCCAAGGCCAGCCCCTGCTCTCTGTACCTTATAACTCTGTCTTCCCTTGGTGCCCCAGAGGTCCATGAACTAATCCAGGTGCCTGAGACCATGGAGATGCTGGTCTGTGCCCTCGGCCTGCTGGTGGGCCTGGCGGGGGTCCTTAATGGCACCATTGTCTCAAAGACCAAGCGATCTGACAGCATCCCCGGGTCCAGGGGCTCCTATGAGTCATCCTATAGGTGTATTAGGGACAGAGTGGAAAAGACGAGGTAACAAGTTAGGGGTGAAGAGTGGGAAAGAGAAACACTTCACCAGGGGCTCTTTGAGCATTGATGTTTTACTGCCATTGGGCTGGATAAAAACATTAACAAATGTAATGAGAAATGACATTCATTGAGTTGCTTACTATGTTCTAGGCACTATTCTAAGTGCTTCTCATGTGTTCACTTATTTACATCTGGAGGTTGGTTCTTATTTATTTCATGTTACAGAGCAGGAATCAGACACCGGGAGAGGTGAAGACCACACAGCTTCAAAGTGCAAAGCTTGGATTTAAACCCAGGCTTTGGGCCTGCAGTGGCTGCAGTCTTGTCCAGTATTTAGATTATTTCATCTGCAGTCACTATCTGTCTTCCTACATTTTACACAGCCTTAATTTTCTTCTGCCCGCAGAGTGATGTTCAGAACTTCCAATGCTATGTTAAACATTTCCAGCAACGAAGGACATCCTATCTTTTGCACAATCTCAAAGGCAATCCACCTCATTTCTTTGAAATATATATGCTATAGATTTTTGGTTCACTACCTTTAACATGTCATGAAATTGATTAAATTCTGTCTATGTCTTGAGCTGAATTCAGTTTAAATTAATATGAATTTTGCGGAGTCCACTAATGTGTTAACCACATTATATATTTTCTGACACTGAAGAATCATTGCATTCCTAGAATAAATCTAAAATTGGTCAAAACGTATTGTTTTTATAATGTACTGTTGGATTCAGTGACATGGCTAAAATTAGTCCACAATCCTGTTCTCCTGTACTATTCTTAGCTGGCTCTGGAAATATAAATGAACCAACCTCATAAAATGATCTCAAAAATTCTGTTCCATTCTATGTTCTAGAATCACACGTGTAAGAGGCATGATCTGCTCCTGGAAATGTGGGAGGACGCCCTCATCTGCAATAAGATCAGGACAGGGCCCTTTGGAAGGCGATTCTTTGCTTCCCATGACAATTTCTTTGATATTCTCTACTCTATTTTAGTTTTCTATTTCTTCCTGTAGTTTTGACCTTTATATCTTTCTAGAAACGTATCCGTTTTATCTAAATTTTCAAATTTATATGTATAGAATTGGTCGTAAGATTTTGCATTTTAAAATGTGTATAAATGTCATTTACCCTTTTCGTTCTGAATCTCCTGTATTTTCCTTAGGAGTCTTGCCAGAGGTCTCATTAAAGTTTTCATTGCCTCAAAATTTGATTTTATCTTCTCTATTTTTATATTTCATTGAATTCAGCTTTTGTCCTTATTATTTACATGTATTTTCTTTTTGCTGTTTTTCTGCTTTTCCATCCTCTTAATTCACATAATTAGCTCATTTGTTTACAGTCATTTTACTCTAACAAAATTGTTTAACAGTCTGACATTCTATGCAGCATTTTGAATGAACTTATTTCATCTTTCTATAAAGACTAAACATCTATTATGTTTTCAGTTATTTCCTCTTCCTCCACTATTTCCCTGACTTTCTAGACGTCTAATTATTAAGATGTCAGATGTCTGTTTCTATCCTTCATTTCTCTTCACTTGTCCTTTACATTTTCTATTGTTTACTCGATCATATTGTCCTTGGGACAGTTTCTCAGTTTGGCTTTTTGTTTATTAATTACACTTCAGTTGCAAAAGTCCTATTTCTTGTCTCATTTATTATGTTTCTTATTCCAATCTTTATCAAAGCTCAATATTTGTGCTTGATTCAGTGGCTTCTTGCTTTTGCTTCAAATTCCCAAATTCTCCTTTACTTCTCTATTTAAGCCCTTTCTATTGTGAACTAGGGGACATTTGGAAGAAACACACAAACCAATAGAATGTACGTTGAATGGTTATCACCGCAAGCACCCATGTAACTAGTACCCGGGTGAAGAAATAGACTGTTGCCAGCATCCCTGTGCCCCTCCTTAGGCCAGGAGGTAGTGTGTAAGCTTTTCAGGAGCCAAAGGCTGCTGATATCCATAATGCCTAGCATTGCTCCTGGTACACAGTAGGTCCTCCATAAATATCTCTTGTAGAAGTATTTTATTATTTATTTAGTGTGTACTTCTTAAATGTTTTCCACCTTCAAGTATTCCCACTTATTTGAAGTTAGTTGCAGCCATATGATTTACATTGGAAAATGAAATGCGAGAAGTGTGTTCTTTCTAGGAGGGATCATTAAAAGCCAGTGAATAAATTCTTAGGTTCCCTTCATTCTGCTGGGGAGGTTCTGGGAGCAGATGTGCAGGAGAAAGACTGTCAGCCTGGCTTCCTGAGTACGATGATGAGCAGAGCTTCCTGCATGACTTACTTTGGACGTGTAACATGAGCCAAACCTGGATATCTGGGTATTTGTTAGTTTAGCACAGCTGATCCTATTCTTACTGTGTAAAAGAAATTGAAGAGAAGGTGCTCAATGAGACTTCAGAGAAGCTGAGAGACAAAAGAACTAGGAGGATGTTTCATCCCATAAGCCAAGTGCACAGTAATTTCAGGGACAGTTTACAATGCAACATGCTCAAAAGGCATCAACTATGGTAAGTGTTCACTGGCCTGGTAGCAAGTGGTTATTAAAACCCCTTTCAAGAGCATCTTCACACCCGATGCCCAACTCCCACCTCCTTCCACTTTCACCATCCCCTGGCTCGGCCTCACTGCTACTTGACAAATGGGGACAAAGAGAGGGTGAGATGATTTCTTCTTAGGGTACCCCTTGATAACCATCTGAGGCAGCGTTGTCTGTTGGGTGGACCACCTTCTCGTTAGGGAACTGTGAGGGGTAGAAAATGAAGGGACCAGGTGGAAAGGGATGGAGGATACAACACTCAGCTGGGAGTCCTAAGCCCGCCGGGTTTTTTCTTCTGCAGGTATCAATTTTTCTGAGTCAGAGGTTGAGTCACCCACTTCACATCTCCTTTAAAGCTCCAGTTCCAACTTTCCTTTGAATCTCTGCTCTTCAACTCCAATGACTGATGTACCTCAAGACTCCTCTACCTCCTGGCTGCCTTTGATCCTGCTGCACATAGCACTCAGCAAAGGGCCTGACTCTTAGAAAACACTCTATCAATATTGAAAATTTGAAGTCTAGTGACAAGGTGGTCCCAGTTTGGATGGTCTCTCAGCTCTTGTCTCCTCTGGGACCTGTCTCTGCACTGCATCCTTCCTTAGAAATCCCAGAGTTTCATAAACACCTGCATATGTCAGAGTGAGACACATCTGATACCTTCTTTCTGTGACTCCAGGGACATTCCTCATCTCCTGACACCCTCAGTTCCCTAGGAGCACATATCCTGTTCCTGTAATGTGGGTGCAGATACCTCAGCTTCTGATCCTGACAAGTGTTAGTCCAGAGATTGTTCACTCCACTCGGGGTACTGCCCTAACCTGTAACATGAGTACAGGAGACAAGCAGGAAAGAGAATGACTCTGACTGGATATGGTTTGTAATTTGTAATGTTAACTGCTCAGTGACTCTGAGGGTAGGATTTATGTGCTCTGGGTCTGAGGATTTCATAATGATCTCGATTTGAAGACTTTCTGCTATTCTCATGACCTCCTTCCATCGTTGAATCCCTGGATTGAAATCATATTAATTTTATGCTGCATAGGTTTCTCACAAGTTTCCTGTGAAGCCAAAAGGGAAAATAAGACAGATAAAGGGTCCTTATTTACTATATACTGTCTTCCTTAGCTTATTATGTGACAGCTGAAATTACTACGCAAAAACAAGTCAGCAGCATTTTCCTTTATAGTTTTTGAGGAAATGAGGCTGATCAGGGATAAAGATGTTTTAAAAAGAAAAAATGATTGTGTCCTATTCCCTAGGTTAAGAAGATTATGAGAAACATGATTGGTTGTCCTTGTGTGTGGCTTCTCTTTCCTGACTCCCTGACTCAGTCCAGCCTCTCTGCAGACTCCAGCTGTATTTACTTATATCTGTGCCAGTGACGCCCAAGTCTGTGCCTTCAGCCCCACCTCTCCTGAAATTGGAGGAAGCCGGTCCCCCGATGGAAGATATTATTTGCAAGGGGAGATGGGCAAGAGGAGCACAGTAGCTTTCGGGAATTGACCAGGGACAGGTGCCCAGGGACACACAAGGCCCAGAAGATGCTTGTAAGAAGCCAGGGAGACTGAAGGCATCAACTGGATGTATAAGAGAGCTGCTGTGCACTGATTGTGTGTATCAGGAGTGAAGAATCCATCCTCTACACGAAAAAGAAAGCTTACAACAAACATGTCCTCTACCTTGACCAAAAGGTGTCAATATGAGACGCAAAACACATAACAATGTTGGATTGTTAAGAAAAAAAAAAAGACCAGTGTTTGAAAAAGAGTGCTACATGTATTGCTTTGCTCTTTCCCCAGTGGGGAGTCATTTCTGTCTGTATGAAAATTAAGACAGGAGGCCTAGGCTGGTGGATGAATGCAGACTTAGACGACAAATGACGTCTATTGGATGCATTCAAAAGTCCAAGCCGTATTTGGTTAAGGAGTATTTGTGATGGCACACAAAGAAAATGGTTAAAGTGTATTAGATTATATTTATGATTTTAAATTCTGATGTTCATTTAACTTCTTAATGGTAATGATAAAACATGCTCTCAGTAAGGTATATGTTGAATTAGTGCTGTGGGAATATGGGTCCTATCAGGCAGATTTGCAGTCTGCTCACCATTGAATAGTTAAGAATAGTGGTCTGAGACATAAATGGATGAGGGCACTAAACTTGATTTGGGGGCAGCTCACTGAAATACAGTCAATTCAGAAGAGTGTCATGTGTAACAGGCCCCATTATACAATAGTTAACATATCCCCATTTTCATGGTTCTCTTCTTTCCTATGTTTAAACCAAAATGAACTTCTTTATTAACTCCTACTGTCTACTAAAACCCTCAGAGAAAAGTGATGAGAGATGATTTGGTGCATATTTTTAAAGGAAAACAAACAGTCATGTTGGGTTTTGATTATTTGTGGTGCTAAGAAGAAGGGAACATGGTTGGAGGCCCAGTGAGAGAAACAGTGCTTTGAATCAAAGAGCAGAATGATAGAAACTGACTTCAGAGCAACTTCTTGGCAGCAGTATCCAATTTGGAAGTTGAAGGTCTGTCCTGGAGCCAGATGCTAACGAAACACAGCAAATGCTTTTCCTAAGGCACAATAGTCTTTTCAGTGAGCTCAGGAACCCTGTGGGGGTAAAAGACAAGTTATCCCAGGTTGCCAGCCTCCTTCCTGTAAGTCCAGGAGAGAAAAATTATGGTGAGAGGATGCGTCTCAGGCTGATAAATAACAGAGTTGATCTCTGCTTCCTTCAGCAATGGAGCCAAGCAATGCTCTTTCCCCACTTGCCTGAAGGCTGACATTGAAAGAGGGGTTCATGCCTGAGATTCCCTTCCTGGAGGAGCCTCAGTGTTACAATGCACAGAAAGGACTCATATCCTCCTGCAACCCACCCCACAAGGAAATCAAAGCAGGAATATTACCTGTTTATGCAGATCCTCGTTGAACTGAAATGAAAGACGAAAGGTTATATAATCAGCCATTGAAACCACCTCAGATAATTAGAGAAACATTTCCATCCCACCAAATTCCATTGCCCATCACTCAATGGACGCTCCGCAGGAGCCTGAGTACTTGGGACCTCATGCATCTGGCTGCATTAAGATCCCAGCCTGGGATCCCTCTCTCGCTATAGGTCATGTTTGTTCCCCGATTATCTGATATCAGTGGCCTCTAGAGCTTTCTGACATTTCTTTTCTGTCAAACCCCTCATCGTGGAATAAGTGTGAATATGCCAGGGGAAGGTAAGTCCCGCTCACCCTGCAGGCTTTCTCACCTTTCTTGCTCCTCCTGTGCATGAAGATGCCCACTCCACAGATGATGAGCCCCAGCACGAAGCCCCCAGCTCCCGTCAATGTCTTACTCCGGGCAGAATCAGACTGTGCCTCTGGGAAGGACAGACCCAGGTTTAGTGTCACCTCCACCAGCTGCATCCCTACTCATGTCCTGTCTGAGATTCTGGAGCCTGATGCAGCATATCGGGATGAGGACAGTGCAGCGGAAAAAGCTTGCTAAGAGGAAATTCAGAAAGAGCCACCCTCATATCTGGAACAGGGGTGTGACCTCAACAAGGTGGCAAATGCTGATTCTGGAAGTTGCCTCTCAAAATGCCTGAGAAGAGGCTAAAATGCTGAAGGAAGAGAACTGTTCCTATGTGTGAGGTCAGTTCCTAAGTGTGAGGGTTTCGAGACCAGTCAGTGTCCCTAGATTCTCTGACAAGGGGGAGAACTATGAATCTTCAGGAACCCCTAAGCCAAGGTCAGGAAGTCTCCATTTCCCTGGCTTCAAACTATGCTCAGGAGCTGGTATAGAAGAAAGATGGGGTTTGGACATGGCCCCAGGGTATAGATGCAGAAGATAAGATGAGTGGACCCCAGAGCCAGAGAGTCCCCTGCTCTTCAGAGGTGGGGTCTAGAGGGTCATCAGAGACTCACTCCACTCCACGGTGACAGGACTATCCAGGCTGGTGTGCTCCACTTGGCAGGTGTAGACATCTCCCTGCTGGGGGGTCATTTCCAGCATCACCAGGATCTGGAAGGTCCAGTCTCCATTACGGATCAGGTTGGTGGACACGACCCCAGCTGTTTCCTCCTGTCCATTCAGGAACCATCGGACTTGAATGCTGCCTGGGTAGAAATCCGTCACGTGGCAGACAAGCAGGTTGTGGTGCTGCAAGGGCCCCTTCTTGGAGGGGGAAACATTCACCCTAGGCTGGACTAGGAGCGTGGAAGAAAAATAATGAAATAGAATTTGAGATTGTCCTTCTTTCCTTCCTTCCTTCCTTCCTTCCTTCCTTCCTTCCTTCCTTCCTTCCTTTTTTTTGAGACATAATCTCGCTCTTTCTTTCTTTCATTCTTTCTTTTTGTTGAGATGGAGTGTCACTCTGTTGCCAAGTCTGGAATGCAGTGGCGCAATATTGGCTCACTGCAACCTCCACCTCTGGGCTTCAACCAATTCTCCTTCCTCAGCCTCCCGAATAGCTGGGATTATAGGTGCCTGCCACTTCACCTGGCTAATTTTTGTATTATTAGTAGAGACAAGGTTTCTCCATGTTGGTCAGCCTGGTTCTCTAGGAGCACTTGACCAACGCCTGACCTCAAGTGATCCACCCGCTCGGCCTCTCAAAGGGCTGGGATTACGGGCCTGAGCCACTGCATCTGCCCAGATTATTATTTCTTAGGCATGTTCACTATGTAATTGATTCCTAGATGTTGAAAATAGGAATAATGTGATTAGGCTAGTGGGTAAGGGTAGCATTGAAAAGATAGAAATAGACCTTCAAGTAGAGCATGCATGATCTTGAATAAAATAATAGTTAGTAAGTATATAGCGGAATGGCAGGGAGACAGAGTTTGCACTCTGTAGCACATTTAGGAGAAATTTTAACCAAAAGTAATTTGGGCAAAGAATATTTGATCAACTGTGAAATTACCTACCTTTTCAAAGTTCTATCTTGATACAAAGGAAGCAAAATTTACTCAAATAATATCTTGAAATTAAGATATACAGACAATGGCATTATGGTGGCCTGTGAATCTAATAACTTCATGAAAATACAAAGAAAATGAAGAGAGCTTTACATGTCTTATTCTGTAAAAAACCTATGTATTTTTTTACCTCACCTACAAAAACTCAAAATCTTCATATTTACAGAATATCCTGAGCTCCTACATGCTTGAGTAGTAGAAATCCCGTCCTTTTTCAAGTTCCTCCTCTGTGCTGCGTCTTCAGGTCCCATGAAGGTCTCACAGATGACCAGGTGTTGCCTCCCTCTGCATCTTTGCATTTGTGCCCCAGCTTGTCCTGTTGTTCTCAGGTGAATTTCCACACTGCCACTGGCAACTTTTCTTTTGGATCTCTGCCACCAGTACCTTTTTCCTCCTCAGAAAGCAGAAAAGGCCAGGCATGGTGGTCATGCCTATAATCTTAGCACTTTGGGAGGTTGAGGCATGAGGATCACTTGAGCCCAGGGTTTTGAGACCGGCCTGGGCAACATAGTGAGAACCCATCTCTAAAAAGAAAAATAAATTAGCCAGACATGGTGGTACGTGTATCTGTAGTTCTAGCTACATGGGAGGCTGAGGCAGGAGGATCACTTGAGCCCAGGAGGTTGAGGCTGCAGTGAGCCATGATGGTGCCACAGCACTCCAGCCTGGGAGACAAAGTGAGAACCTGTCTCAAAAACAAACACAAACACAAAACAAAAAACAAACACAGAAAAGGGTCAAGTGCTCCTAGAGAACAGTTCATTCAGGGAGATCCACTAGAGAACAGCTCTTTCAGAGGACTACCCTAGAGAACAGCTCATCAAGAGGAATGTCTCAAATTAGTCTTCTAGGTCCCTAATCACTCAGTTCTTTCCTTTCTACTTCCTGGAGAACACAAATACCCTAACATGGCGCTGGGCCAGGTAAAAGTACAGTCTTGAACTGACACACAACCCTTACTCCCTATTGTATTTTTGCCTTGTTTTCAGACTGATCCACATTGTCAGCCTCTTCCCTCAATGTGAGTTTATTTCAGGGGCACCTGTGTCTCACTACTTCATTACCTCGGTTAACTCAATGTCCATTACACTATTCAACTTATGTCTAAATCTCAGTTGTGAATTACCTACAATTTCTTCCCCATAGAGCTTCTGGGAACCATGAAATCAGGGGGAATACTTGGGTATCTGTTTTAAGGTCCCAGAACATTCCACGAGAGGCATCTTGCTCAATATTCTTTGACAGGAGCAGGTCAGCCTGGAGCCACATCAGTGACCTCCAGGGTGCGCTGGAGTTAAGGCCTGATACCCAATGGCCTCATTTCTGACCCAGTTCAAATACATTTCACCAAGGCAAGGATTCCTGTTTGTTCTAGTTGCCTTCTCTAATGCCCAGAAAACATTTGCTCAATTACTTCTAGATTTGGGTGGACATCCACCCTGGAATTGTCACTACTTCTTTCCTCCCCCTTCCACCTCTCCCTTGCCTCTGTGTTTTCCCTGTTCTAACTCATGCCTTGATTGCAATTTCCCTGACAAATAATAGCAGTTTCCTACCTCATCTCCCTGCCTCTGGTCCCTCCTCTAGCCAGCACCCTTAGTAGTCTTCTGAAGACACATCTCCAACCTTCTCTTTTTCATTTTTCAAAAATCTTCAGTGTTCTGACAATACTTATCTGGCTACATGGGAACCTCTAGGGAGCTGATTACAAGCAGAGATCCCCAGACCTCCCCACCCAGGGAATCTGAGTCTGGGGGCACTGAGTCTGGAGATCTGTGCATCACAGAGGATCTCCAGAAGAGTCTTCAGAGGAGTGAGGTTGGGGACCTGCGGGCCTGGAGGAGAAACCCACACTCCTTAGGCTGGCATCAGGGCTGTCTGCAATCTGGCAGTTGATTACTGTGAAAGAAAATGCTGCCATGTCACTGATTGGTGCCTCTACAAAGTCTTAGTAACAGTTTTTGCCAATTGCGTTATTTTTATTTGAACACCTCTCTCAACCAATTACCTCAGCAACTTTCCTAAGCTCATGTCACTCACCTCATCCCCACCCAGTGTGTCCACCTTCTCACTCATAGCAGGTGAACTTCCTTTCACTTTCCAGGAACAAGAAAATCAAAGGTGTGATCTCCCCAGCTTCCTCCTCCTCCTCCCTTCATTTTTTTCCTCTTTCTAGAAAAAAGGTCCAGGGCTCAATCCCACATCCTGATACTACTCCCTCAAGTCCCTCAGGTTGGTGCACCAGGCTCCCCACCCCACAAGTTCACAGGAGGAAGCCAAAGCTCCAAGGCCTTCCTGTCCCATCCTTGAGAAATCCTCTTACTGCACACACCTCACCTCTCTCCATCCCTTTACACCCAGACTTCCTGAAGGAAAAAGACGAATGAACTGAGACACTGCCCTGTGACAGCCGTGGGGAACCCAAGACAAGTAAAATCCATCTCAGCCCCGAGGAGGATGCGCCACACTCAGCCTCATGCACCCCCTCCCATTCCAGCTCCTGCCGCTGCGGCCAACCTGCTCTCCCCAGGTCTCCCTGGTTTCCAAACCCACTTTCCATCTTCTGTTTTCTGACCTTCCCAAGTCACTGGCACCGCTGTCCACTGTGCTGCTGAGGTCACCTCCCCTCAGCTTCCAAGACTCTTCTCTGCGGGCCTCTCCTCACACTGCACTTGGGTTTTTTTGGTCTCTTTCACAGGCTTTTCTGTCTTGGCCAAATCACAACTGTCCAGTTCCCAGGATCCGGTCCTTTGCTCTTCCCCCTGGGTCCCCTCTCCCTGGATGGTCTCATGTATCTCAGTCTCCTCCCCGGCTGCAGACCCTTCTGTCTACCTGCCCATCAGACCACCCATCTGCCCCTCAAGCACCTCAAACCCAGCTACCTCCCTGTAGGTTTCTTCTCTGTGTGGCCTGCTGTGCCATCTCCACCTCCATCTCCACACCATACCCTTGTGCGCTGTCCTGTGGCTTCCTTTTTTCACCCCACATGCAGTCAGCTGCCAGGCCTGATGAAGTCCCGGGGGTCTCTCTGCTCTCGTCCTCCTCACTCCATGCTCAGCCCAGTCCAGGTCCCCGCGCTCGCTCCCCTGACAAGCTCCAGATGGGCTCCCCCCATGAATCCCCAACCCAAAGTCCCCTTTCCGCCCGGCACTAAGGTCCCTTAGGCCAACCCGGCTGCTCCTGCGCCCTGGGCACGGGCCCGCGGGGCTGCCCTGGGACCGCCGGCCCAAAGCCCTCACTCACCTCGGCGCTGCAGGGTCATGGGCCCGCCCAGCTCGTAGTTGTGTCTGCACATCCTGTCCGGCACTGCCCGCTCCTCCTCCAGGATGTCCTTCTGGCTGTTCCAGTACTCCTCATCAGGCCGCCCCAGCTCCGTCACCGCCCGGAACTCCCCCACGTCGCTGTCGAAGCGCACGAACTCCTCCCGGTTGTAGATGTATCTCTCCAGGAAGCGCTGTGTCCCATTAAACGCGTAGCATTCCTGCCGTCCCTGGAAAAGGTAATTCTCTGCGGGGAGGGGGCGGACATGAGCGGAGGCGCCACTCTCATCTAATCCTCTTTCTCCCTCTCTCTCTCAATATTAACGATTCTTCCCAAATCTTCCCACCCAGGGCTGGATTTTAAAATAGGAGTTTTCCTAGTACCGAGTTCTGTGGTCCTAAGCGGGTCGCAGAGCCTCTCCAGGCCTGTTTTCTCACCACGCAGAGAGAGAATTTACTGAAAAGAATGAGCTCAGGGGCACTGAGTGATCACTAGGGAGGGGCGAGCACTGAGGGGAAGGCAGTCCCTTCTGCTGGTGGCTGGAGGAGGCGGAGACGTTTCACGTGGGGTCACTGGGAGAAAAAACAGGGGCGGGAGGAGCTGGGGACGTGGAGGGCGGAGCTGCTCCCCCTACTTAACTCCCTGACTGACATTTCCATCCTGATGTCAGTCCTGGTTCAAATGCCACCTCCTCCAGGAAGCCCTCCCTTCCTTCTTTCTCTTTTCCATAGCTAAGCGCTCTCTCTTCTCGACCAGTTTCTTGAGAATTCCTCAACTTGCTCCTGTTGTTTTGCATGTAGGAGATGTAGAAATATATTTCTTAAAACTTTCTTCAACTTTGGTATAAGAAAGACTCTGTAGCCTGAAAGTTAATTTTCAAACATGGCTGCAGAAAGACTTGGTGTCAAAAGATGTGGAAAGTATTTTACACAATGAAAATCACCACAACAACCAGGGACCTGTGGGGGTAGAGTCCTTTGGGTTTAGAGGCATTGATGTAATTTTTTTTGGCAGTTTTTATGGTTTTATTTACACACAAAACGTGGACATGAACTTTCTACTCATTTTCTTAGCTGTGCACCCTGGTACTGGGGTTGGTGACTCTGATGGCCGGCTGGGTGACTCTTTCCATGATGACTTTGCAGTTCTGGAGGAAATTTTGTGAGCGATCTCAGCACAGTAAGATTTGTTGCACATCAGCAGCACTTTCAGCTCCTTGAGGCTGTGGACCAGAAACTTCTGGAAGCCACTGGGCAGCATGTTTTTTTTGTTGTTGTTGTTGCTCCCATAAGCAATGTTGGGCATCAAGATCTGGCCCTTGGACCTTCTACGAACCCTACTGTTAAGACCTCTGGGTTTCCGCCAGTTATGCTTAATTTTGACATTTCAGTCTGATTGGTGCCTCATGAACTTGTTGGTCCTCTTTTTGAGGATCTTATCCTTCATGAGGAGTCTGAGGGAGGCCATGATGTGGAGGAAGAGATGGCTGCCAGCTGCATAGGCAGCACCGAGGAAGACAGCATTGATGTAATTTTTACATGAACAATTTTGGCAGCCTTTCCCACATGCTGTTCTTCCTAGGGAGTGCCATGAGCAGTGTCTGGCAGGTGTGTGTCTACACAGAATTATCAGTGACACGGCACATGTTTGTTTCTGTTTGAGTATCTTCAGGCCTGCTCTGTTCTTGGGCACACTGGGGAAATTAAGGTGCTGTGATTGTTCTGCTCATCTGTTTCATGCTCCACAAATTAACTTCTCCAGTTTATTAACCTCACCCCTAGCAGAAGTTGCACAGCTGGTGGCAGAGGATAGTGGAGATGGGGTAGGGCTGGGCTCAAGGGCACCATGGAGTCCACCTTTAGTCTCCAGTGTCATTGCTAAGGCAAGATCCCAGGTCTTGACTCAGATATCCTGACCTGCCTCTTCTCCTGGTGCCTTGGGCCCCAGACCCTAAAATTCCAGGCCCAGAGCCCCCCAGCTCCTTGAGTCCAGATTCCTCCTCCTCTGCCATCCATCCGCCCCTGCCTGTTCAGTTGCCCCACTCTGAGTGTGGATTCTCCCATTTTCATTTGTTAGTCTTTGTTTCTCCTCCTCAATCACCAGTAAGAGAACGTTTTTCATTCAAGAATAAGAATTTTGAATTTTTTCTTTGCAACATTTAATTTTTTTAATTTACCCAGTCTTAGGTAATTTTTTAAGTACATTTAACTTTTGAAATGGAATTTTACCTGCCAAGTAGACATAAGCAATGAGGGGTTTTATGGTGTAATTTGAAACCTTCATTTTTTTTTGTATATAAGAAACTTTATCCTGTTTGTGGAACCCTTAGCAATTGAGTTGCCCAGAGCACGGTTTGAAACCACTGATCTGAATGAATTCGTCTCTTATTCAGAATAGGATATATTAAAAACCTCTAGCTCCCTATGGGTTGTCTCAGCCAAGCTTTTCTCCCCCAGCCTCTTTAAGCTATAGCCTGGCTCCTCAGCCCTTTGGTCTTGTGCCCTGTTTGAGGTTGGGGATGTGTGTGGAGTTGGGGGAGCATGCAGGGAATTGTGGAATCAGCCCTGCCCACTTTACCCACTCCCCTATGGCTCCAGCTCTCCCTCCAGCAAATTTTGATTGAACATTCATTCTACGCAGGGAGCTCCAGTAATCTACCCTCAGTCCCTGTCACATGGCTCCACTGCCTCATCTCATTCCCCCTACAAACCTCAACCCAGCCTTTGCCTGTCCTCCCTTTCACTGTCCAGCATCACATGCTCCCTTCTGCTCTCTGCTCCCCCACCTCTGGGTTTCCTTGGTGGCTCCCAACACTGTCCCTCATCCCACATGACAGCTCTGCCTATGGGATGGGGGCGCTGCATCCGTCACTTCCTCCTGACACTGTTCAGTGTCACCAGTGCTGCTCCAGCCTCCTCTCTCCCCAGCCTCACCCCTCTGCAGTTCCCAGGGCTGAGCCGTCCTGCTGGTTAGTTCTCAGCACCCTTCTGTGACTACAAGTTCAAGTTCTCCTCCCCTTCCTGGACAATGAACCCAAGGTAATAGATAAGAGGTTTTAGGGCTTGAGGGGCTGTATTCAGGAGATTCCAACCTTGCTACCCTGAAAGATGAGGAGGTGACATGATGTCAGTACCTTTTAGGTGTGTCCTAGGAGGGGTGTGGAGAGGTCTAGGAGGAAGGGTGTAAGCAGGAAAAGTGGAAGTCAGTGGAAAACTAAGGTACCTACTTTGCAGTCCTTCCTCTCAGAGTGTTGGTGTAAATTTGGACTAGAAATGTCCTGAGAGTACAATGGTTGAACTAGTTTACAGTCCCACCAACAGAGTAAAAGTGTTCCTATTTCTCCACATCCTCTCCAGCACCTGTTGTTTCCTGACTTTTTAATGATCGCCATTTTAACTGGTGTGAGATGGTATCTCAAGACAGTGTGGCAATTCCTCAAGGATCTAGAACTAGAAATACCATTTGACCCAGCCATCCCATTACTGGGTATATACCCAAAGGATTATAAATCATGCTGCTATAAAGACACATGCACACATATGTTTATAGCGGCACTATTCACAATAGCAAAGACTTGGAACCAACCCAACTGTCCATCAGTGATAGACTGGATTAAGAAAATGCACACATATACACCATGGAATACTGTGCAGCCATAAAAAAGGATGAGTTCATGTCCTTTGTAGGGACATGGAGGAAGCTGGAAACCATCATTCACAGCAAACTATTGCAAGGACAAAAAACCAAAGACCACATGTTCTCACTCATAGGTGGGAACTGAACAATGAGAACACATGGACACAGGAAGGGGAACATCATACACCGGGGCCTGTTGTGGGGTGGGGGGAGGGGGGAGGGATAGCATTAGGAAATATACCTAATGTAAATGACGAGTTAATGGGTGCAGCACACCAACATGGCACATGTATACATATGTAACAAACCTGCACGTTGTGCACATGTACCCTAGAACTTAAAGTATATATATATATAAAAAGAAATATCCTGAGAGTATCCTGAGAGAAAAACAATGGATCATAGATGCCATAATATTACACCAGCCACAGGGAGGCAGCAGGAAGAAGAGATTTTTCACTTGGTTACTGCTTCCTTGGCTGTCTGATAACCTACACTCAATCCCTGTCATGCACCCACACAACCTCATCTCATTCTTCCTACAAGTCGCAACCCACTCTAGTACCCTAACCAAGTTCTGGGGAGGCTGGGAGAAGTACCTTTAATGAGAATGCCTTCAGGGGCTAAAACCTATCCCCCTCCCTCCCTTCTCTCCTTAATTGTCCAAGGGATGTGGGCTCCTGCTCCACCCTGGGGAATAAGAGGCATTCTTCGTGAGCACTGAATCCTCAGTGATCCTCAGAGCCTGGACACTCCAGCTTAGGGCTCTCTGCCTGAGTCCCCTCCAGGCTGGATGCAGACATGAACACGCCCAGGAGCCTGCACTTGCCAACTTCTCTCTCTGCAAACCTTGTCTGTCCAAGGTTATCCAGGACCTCTTGGTCCCATTTTCCCCAAAGACAAGCATACTGACCACTGGGCACCTCTCTCTGTTTACTGTACCCATGTCCTTGGAGAGAGAATAGGCCAGTAGGGTAGCAAGCTATCCTATAGGGGATGAACCTCTTTCTCTAGCTGGGAAGAGAGGACACTGCCTTAGGGCAGGAGCCCCCGCAGCCTGTCTCAGAATTTGATCCCTTAAAGATAACGTCCCCTAGGAATTGTTCCCTGAGCCAGACCCTCCAAGAATGGCAGTTCGGCTCTTACCTGGAGTGGCCCTGCCCTGGACCACAGATGTGAGCAGCACCATCAGTAACGCCGTCAGAGCCACTGTCCGGGGGGCCGCAGAAACCTGCAGAACCATCATGGAGCTGGAAAAGGATGGCAAAATGAAAAGAGCTGCAGTCAGGAAAAGAAGGACTCGCTAAAGGGAGCTCCTGTTTGAAATATTAGAGACCATGAACCCAAGTAGTCTTCTGTGACCCTGGGATTGGACAGAGTCTGAGAAAAGAACCAATGGACACTGAGCTTTGTATGAGTCATTGCTCACTAGGCAGAAAGTTAGTATGAAAGGTCTGAAAATATAAAGCCTGTGATGCACTTAAGATGACGGAGGAAAGACAGTGATACTCATTTTAACCAGTCAGATAAGTCATGATGTTTGGCGAGATTATGCGTTTTCTTTGCTCTGAAGGTGATCTCAAATATTCTGCTGGCCCATCTACAGGGATTATCATTTCCCCAATTCTGCCACACCTCACACACCCACAGGACATGGTCTGTTGTGGAAAAAGTGCTATCTTAGTGTGTAAAAGGTCATTCAGTGGCATGACTTAGAGGGATTAGAGTACCCATCTCAGAACTCAAATGAGGTCTGAGTCTGTCTGTCTTGCCTTTGTCCAAGGGTGTGTTTAAGATTAGCACCCATTCATATTTACTTTCTCCCAGAGGTCTGTGAGTCCTGCGATGTGCAGGAGTTACCAGGTTCTTCCACAGGACTGTCATCAGGGTCAGGAGGGCTCAGTCTAGGGACCTTACACTGGGAGCGTGGACACACCACCTACCCTACCATGTAAATATGCAGCTTTAACGACACTGCCTCTCTTGGACTTCGATTCCTTGTCTTCAATATGGGGATGATATAACCTGCCTTATAGCAAAGCTCTTAAGATCAAATGAGATCAATAGGTCTGAAATTGCTTTGGAAAAATAAAGTCCATAGAGAATATAAATTGACTGGTAAATAAGGAAGAAAGTGAAAAAAAATCATCAAAGACCCCACCTCCTTCAAAGCATCTGATTCTATTTTGTTTAGAGTGAATATTTTTACAAACTTTCAAAGAACATTACTTCTTACTTTAGACACTTATAAATGTGATCCTGTTGGACCACCAATTCTAATTTCAAAAAAAATCAAATTGGCATCATTTCTTTAAATCAATATTAAAATGTAAATAGAAGGCTAGCATGTAAAATGCAAGAGAAGAAAATAATTATGTAGTAGAAGGTGTCTAGTAGGATTAAGGGGCCAGGAGAGGATTGTGGAGAAAAACTCAGTTTTTTTAGTAACTGCCTGGGTGGGACTTTTCTCCTTGTCATTTACCTGCCATAGATAATTAGACAAATACTTCCTCGATGTCTCAGGTAATTTATTTTTACAGTAGACATTAATAATACCTCCCTCAGGTTTAATATGAGGTTTAAATGAGGTAATGCATGCAAAGCACTAATAACAGAATCTCTCATGTCCTAATCTGTTAGTAATTATTATTTATGCAAGGTAAGGCTACCACAAATAAGATAAAATATTAACGTAATATATGTACTTCATCATTACATTAAATAGTAAATGTTTTGTGACCTTCTCTATGAGTATCAAATAAATAGCTCAAAATTGAAATATTTAAAATGAGACTAGAAAAGTATTTCTTAAATATGGTAAAGAGAATATAAAATAAAAAATTAACATTACCTGTAACAGAAAAACATTAGAGAAACCCTTCTTAAAAACAAGATCAAAATATGGGCGCACATTGTTACCACAGGTAATGCTGTCCTGGGTATTCTTATATGAAAATGAAATAACAAGACTAGTAATTTAAAGATAAAAATGTTATTACACTGTTTAAATACCAGGAAAAATCAAATACTAAGAAATCTGAAAAATAAAAATTATCTAGAAATTTCACTAACAAAGGTAACCAGGAATAGATAAACAATTAAAGATCAACTTCATTCAAGTTAATTAAAACCTCTAAATAGAAATTATAACACTTCTGCAGAAATGATTAAATAAAAAGGAGGTATCTCAGGGAGGTGGACCTGAAAGAAAGATTAATTATATATTTTATTAGATAGCACATTCATTCTTAATTATCAGCAGAATATTTTTGTAAAATATTGACAACATAACATAAAACATGATTTAAAATATAGTGACCAAAAAACATCGAAGATCATCTGACTGTCTGGGATGGGGGTGGGGCTCGGGAGAAGGAACATAATGGAAAACATTTGCCGTCAGAAGAAGGTGTAACTTATCTTTTTACATCTCTTTCTCTAACTCTGAAAATGAACTGTGAACTGGAGCTCTCTTGACCACGCTGGTACCTAAAATTCTCCCATCTCTTCCCCAGCACCTTCCAGCGTCCTCTTTACCCAGCAACAGAGAATGTCAGCTCTATGATTTCTCTGATAGGTGAATCCCAGCCATGCTGATTCCTCTCCACCCATTTCCAGTGCTAGAGGCCCACAGTTTCAGTCTCATCTGCCTCCACTCGGCCTCAGTTCCTCATCACTGTTCCTGTGCTCACAGTCATCAATTATAGACCCCACAACATGCGCCCTGAAGACAGAATGTTCCATATCAGAGCTGTGATCTTGAGAGCCCTCTCCTTGGCTTTCCTGCTGAGTCTCCGAGGAGCTGGGGCCATCAAGGGTGAGTGCTCAGGAGGACGCAGGAGCGTCGGGGTGAGTGATGGGGTGGTTCACATCAATTGCTGCTTCAGGGATCACAGATTTTAGGGGCTCATTGATCTATCTGGTCCTCATAGTCTATGTTCCCTCTGGCCCTCATAATAATAACAGCAATAACAGCCAGAATTTATGAGACTCCTGCATAGTTTCTTTCCCCATTTACATCTCACAGGAATCTTCAATGAAGATAATATTCCATTCATTTAGAAATTATTCCTTTTATTTAGAAATTATTTTGAAAAAACTGAAGCTCAAAAAGATGAATAAGTTTTCCAAGGTTACACAGCAGATCAACGAGCCAAGTTTGAAGTCCAGACCCAGCTCTGAGGGTCATACACTGCCTTCCCCAGATTCCTGCACACAGTGACCTACTATCAGGGCCCTCCTATCTCTCTGGGATCCCCAGCCTCTATCTTTTGTGGCTGCTTTACAGGAACTCCGAGCTATGGACTCTGCATTAGGAGACGAAGTGCAAAGAGTGTTTCTGTATCCTCCCTCTCTTCTAGGACCCTAGGGCTCTTCCTGGGTCTTTGTGGGTGGTCACAAGCTTTCCTCTCTCAAGACAGCAGGGTTGCATGGTCTTGATAGCCTTGTGATTCGGGTTCTGAGAGATTCAGGACTGCAAGGGAGGCCTAGACTTTTGATAGCTGCAAGGACTCAGCCAGAGATGGACCGTAGTGAATGCTCCTTTTTCCTGTAGCTGAAATCAGGGAGAATGACATCAAGCCTGTGCATGATGCTGTCATTCCAAAATCTAGTGATGGGGAAGGTTAGAATCCATAACGTACAAGATGCACACTGGCTTCAGACAGTTTTATTTAAGATGTGTAGAATAAAGAGGAGGTCAGGCTGGGTAGAACCAGAAGTATCTATTGCCCTGTTCGCGGTCACCTGAGTTATTTCTAATGTTATGTTATAATAAACACCACAATAGGCTTCTCTTCATAGATGCAAATACTTTTTAGTATTCTTGGTAGAAATTCCTAATGAGCTCAGCTGTCTCTTCAGGGCTTCCCTGCCCAGTCTCTTAACATTTAAACATGTCATTTACCTTAAAAACATAAGTGCAAACCAACTGATAAAAAACAACCTTGCCTTCAGTCTGCATCCTGTCCCAGAGACACTTTCTTTGTGTCCTCACACGTGGAGCTAAGCTTCTGACTTGTCTCTGGTACATCCCTGAGGATCCTCTCATCTTGGCCATCAGGAACCTCTACAGAAGGTCAAATTCAGTGGGTTCTTCTCAGTGCCTCTGACTTGAGTTACTAATAACATTTGCACTATAATCCACTTCTTTCTGATGAACTACCCTGTCCTTATTTTTCTCCTGTTTACCTGGATCCTCCTTATCATCTTTTAAACCACCTCTTAACTATCATGTTCTCTCATTATACCCTGAGATCTCGGCAATTCTGATTTTTGGCACTCTTCCTGGAAAATCTTATTTAACCTGCACCTGCCACTAATGACTCTCAGTTCTATGGCCTAAATTCCTCTCCTGAGACCACCCATAATCCACAAATATCTATGTATTATTTCTCCTTAGATGACTTTCAGGTCTTCTAAGTGCAATAGCCCCACAGTGAACTCAGTATCTTCTCCCGGTCAGGCTGTCTTCCCTGAGAGAAGTGGCTTTTGCCCTGTTTTCTGAATGCCTACATTGAAGCCATCTGTTCCCCAGGAAGCCTTCCCTGATGTGCTGTTTGGTCGCATCTTGTGTATACCTACGTATCTGCACTTATCCTTCTGAACCTGCTGTTGTCCTGTCACTTGTGTTTCCTTCTGTGACTTATACGCGTCTGCAGAACAGGACGTATGTATTATTTTTATTTGGGTATTTAGCATCTAACAGTGTTTGACATATAGTAGTCTTTTAATACATATTTTTGTCTGAATGGAAATGATATTTTGAAGAAAAATAATCTGTTCCATAGCTGGCTGATCTTTGGACTGCAGAACTTGTGAAAGTGTTTTTTAAAAAGCATTTTAAAAAGTACAAGGGACATTCATGTATTAAGAAGATGAGTTTCCAATAACTGCTAGAGGACTTTGTGTCTTTTTATTTTACCCTCTTTTTCCTGATGAGTCCTTTGAGTCCTTTAAACTGAGGAGCAAGCTAAGTTTCCTAGTGAAATACCTATAGGATTTGTTTTGTTTAGTTTCAAATACCACTCTTTGCTTGGCCACTTACTGTGTCAGGGAGTCATTCTCAGTGAAAAATAAGACACAGGTCATACCCTCTAGACACTTACAATTACAGTGGCAAGGAGTCATTCTCCTGTCACTGTAAGTGGCCAAGCACAGACTGGGTCCCCACATGTCAGGGCTGAAAACTCACAGGGAAATCTGTGAGTTGGGAGGTGAGAGCAGAAGAGTCCCGTAGTTCCTTCTCACTCTGATGCATTTATCATTCTAAACCCAGACTTTCACATACACATTCATCGTTTTCTTTCATGATAATAGTTGCTTTTATCCTCTTATCTTTGCTAATTCTTACAAACTAATAAAGACTAAGAAACAAAATAAATTAAATCCTACAGGTGTTCCAAACTCAGCAATAATTTCTAGTTGGCCTCTAAAACAAAAATCAAAATATAAATGTAAGAAAAGTTTAGAATGCTTAGTACCTGTGTGATGAAATAATCTGTACACTAAACCCCCAAGTCATGAGTTTACCTATACAACAAACCTGCACATGTACTCCTGAACATAAAATAAATGTTGAAATATTTTTAAAAAGGAAACAAAAGTTTGGAACAAATGCCAAAATAACTGTACTGTACTTTTGAATTTATATGCCCCAAATGAAAAATATTATCAACAAAGCTATACATTCTACAGTTTCATGTTCATAAACTAAGACAGAAACTTTAAAACTGTCAAGAGCCCTAAAATTTGAAGGATATTTTCTTCTTCCTCTCAATTTTGTATTTTTTTCTACCTTTTCTATAATAAGAAAAAGAAAATGTCCATTCCCCCACCCCCATGACTCTAAAAACAATTTTACATCTGTGTCATAGAAAAATTAAGATCTTAATGGGAGAGAAAACCTCTCTACTAGTTCCGCCAGTAGCCGTATGACCTTAGCAAGTTATTAATATGTAACTTCCCTGCATTTCCTTACCTGTAAAATGTATGATATGTATTTGCTTCATAGGGTTATTGTGACAATTCAGCGACTGAAATATGTAAAGTATTTAGAAGGATGCCTGGCACAAGTAAGTGCTCAACAAATGTTAGCTGTCATTGTTACTATTACTATTGTGTAGGGTCAGGATGCCCAGACTTTCAAAGACCAGGAAGCAGCTTGACTTATCAGTGATAAACTTTTCATTTTGTTCTTTGCTCCTTTCTTTTTATAACTGCTCATCTGCTCTGTATTATTTCCTTTATGGTGTTGCTCCTTCTTCTTCCCCATATGTCCTTCCTTTGACCTCTTACCTTCTTCCTTTTTATATTCATAAGTCTTTATTCATTCTCTAGCTTTGACCACTTGCATATTCAAACTGACATTTTGTCGTGTTTTTCTCTACTGTCTTTATGCAGCGGACCATGTGTCAACTTATGCCGCGTTTGTACAGACGCATAGACCAACAGGGGAGTTTATGTTTGAATTTGATGAAGATGAGATGTTCTATGTGGATCTGGACAAGAAGGAGACCGTCTGGCATCTGGAGGAGTTTGGCCAAGCCTTTTCCTTTGAGGCTCAGGGCGGGCTGGCTAACATTGCTATATTGAACAACAACTTGAATACCTTGATCCAGCGTTCCAACCACACTCAGGCCACCAACGGTACGCCCTATCTTTGCCTCTTCCTCTGTAGCCCAACTGGAAGGGATGAGAGGGCCTCTCTGCCACCCTCAGACTAGGAAGCCTAAGTGCCCCCTGCTGTGTGATCCTCTTCCCCTAGTGGCCATGGGCTGATCCCACTACAGCAAGGGCTTGCATCCTCTCTTCTCAGGAGAGAGAAAGGTGAGCAGAGTGAGGCTGGTCAGTGGTGTGATACCCCTGTCTGTGATTCAGAGCTGCCATAAAATCTAAGGCTGAGGTAGAGGACCACCCTCCCCTAAGAGGTGGAGCCTTTGTGATTCATCCCAGAAGAGGGGCCTAACCTGGTGCTGTCTCCTTCCAGATCCCCCTGAGGTGACCGTGTTTCCCAAGGAGCCTGTGGAGCTGGGCCAGCCCAACACCCTCATCTGCCACATTGACAAGTTCTTCCCACCAGTGCTCAACGTCACGTGGCTGTGCAACGGGGAGCTGGTCACTGAGGGTGTCGCTGAGAGCCTCTTCCTGCCCAGAACAGATTACAGCTTCCACAAGTTCCATTACCTGACCTTTGTGCCCTCAGCAGAGGACTTCTATGACTGCAGGGTGGAGCACTGGGGCTTGGACCAGCCGCTCCTCAAGCACTGGGGTATGCAACTGCTTTTCTCTCCATAATCTCCTGGCATCCTCTATTCCAAAGACCTGGTGTCCTCTGCACCAGCTTTCCGCACTGGCTGGGTCTCAGTCCTCTCCTCGTCCTAACATCCAATTAACTGGTCCATAACCTTCAATTCCCACAACCATCCCAGGCCATCACCACCCTCACTGCACCTCCTGACCCTATCTCTTCATTCTTCCCCCAGAGGCCCAAGAGCCAATCCAGATGCCTGAGACAACGGAGACTGTGCTCTGTGCCCTGGGCCTGGTGCTGGGCCTAGTCGGCATCATCGTGGGCACCGTCCTCATCATAAAGTCTCTGCGTTCTGGCCATGACCCCCGGGCCCAGGGGACCCTGTGAAATACTGTAAAGGTGGGAATGTAAAGAGGAGGCCCTAGGATTTGTAGAATGTAAGGAAGGGAGGAAAAATTCAATCTGATAAGTGTTCATTGATCTTCTAATGGGTTAAAAGCATTCAGCCACATAACAACAACAACACCGATAACTAACTGAGTAGTTAATATGGTCAGGCGCTATTCTGAGGATTTACATTTATTAACTCACTTTATTCTCACACATAGTCTTTGAGGTAGGTACTATTATTTTCACTATTTCACATGAGAGATACTTACATCTTTTTACATACACAGAGACTTTAAGCACTTTGATCAAGTTCCCACAGCTATGAAGTAGTAGGGCTAGCTTCCAATCCAGAAAGTCTGGATCCAAGACTGTTTATCCACTGTCCTATTCACCCTATTTTGTGAAGGAAAAGACCAAGTTCAAATTCTCCAGAGTCCATTGCCAAATAATGGAGTCAGATCTATATTTCTATACATAATTACAACACAGTGTGGTGGGTGCCTGTAACTACTTACTGTCTCTACTTGGACTCATTCCATGGCAATGTTCACACAAAAAATGCCCCTCCAGAGATCTTACAGGTTTCTATTTATCATAACACTCACCATGCTTTATATTTTTATATGTTTTGGGAATTCTCTTAGCATTAGACAGTGAACTTCCATGCAGATGACCACATCTAATTCATTATTATTATTGTTATTCATGCTGGACCTCAGGTACAAAAGGTTAAGAACTTCTCAGTTCATTATATGATCATCATTGGTGCCTCCGAGCTCTCTCTCTCTCCCTTGATTTATTTGGTCCCTTTTATCTCCAGTCCTTACTCCCATATCTAACCTCTTACCCCTACCTCATAGGTAAACATTTTAATGAATTTGATGTTTCCTTTTATTTGCATAGATCCTCTGTAATATGTAGTAGTGTCCAGTGTACATGTATTTTTAATTAACCAAAATGGCATTAAATTATAGATCTAATTTTGTACATCCAGTTTGTTTCTTCCAAATCTTCCATAGTATTTTACTTTATATGTCCATGCATTAGTCCATTTTGCATTGCTATAAAGGAATATCTGAAGTTACCTAATTTACGAAGAAAAGAGCTTTAAATGGCTCACAGATCTGCAGGCTGTACGCGAAACATGGCACTAGCATCTGCTTCTGTTGGGGGATTCTGGAAGCTTTTACTCATGGTGGAAGGCAAGTGGAGCCAGTGCATCACATGGTCATAGAGGGAGAAAGAGACATAGAAAGAGGTGCCAGCCTCTTTTTAACAACCAGGTTTCATGTGCACTAATAGAGTGAGAACTCACTCATTACCCGGAGAGGGGACAAAGCCATTCATGAGGGTCTCCTCCATGATTCAAATACCTCCCACCAGGCCCCACCTGCAACACTGGGGATCAATTTTCAACATGAGACTTGGAAGTGACAAATATCCAAATCATATTAATCCACATATCTACATTGCTCCTGGGATACCTGGATCATTCCTGGTTCTCTACTATTGCAAGCAATGCTTGTATCTCACATGGAACTGCATATACATGTGGGCCTGACCTGCATCCCTGGAATGTATGTATCCTAGAAAGGGGTTGCAGGGTTGCTGGAGATGCAGCTCCTTAATTTGACTAAACACTGCTCATCTTCTCATCAGAATGGCTGTACTCATCTGAACTTCCTTTGTCAGTACTCTAATTGTCCTGCAACTCCTAAATGGACTTCAACACTGGACATTATCCAGTTTTCTAACTTTTGCCAATTTCATGTGCATAAAGAAATATGCTGTTTTATTTTGCATTTCTTTAATTACTAATAATTGGGGTTATAATTAGGACTGATTAGCCACTTGGGGGTTCCTTTTCTATAAATTGCCTGTTCACATTCATTGTCCATTTTTGTACTATGTGCTTCCATCATTTTCTTATTGATTTGCAGGTGATCCTTATATAGTCCTGCTAGTAGTCCCTTGTCAGTTTTAGGCATTGCAAATGTTTTCCTCTAATCTGACTTCTGGCAACTGTCTCCTTGGTTTCCTTTATTGAAGAGAAATCCTTAATATTTTGTAATGAAGTCCATCAACTGTATTTTTGTTTGTGTGTCTTTTTTAAAAGAAGTCTTCCCTATACTGAGATATCAAAGATACTCTTAAAACATCTCCTACAGTTTTAAATTTCACATTTACTACTTTAATTCATCTGGGATTCATCTTTGTGTTTGATGGGGATCATGTTTTATTTTTCTTTATATAATGGGCCAGTGTGTTCCCACAACTACTAAATAGTTCACCTTTTCCCCATAGGTTAGTAGTGTCTCCTTTGCTATACTGAAAGCTCCCATTATAGGTGGGCCTGTGTCTGAGTTCCATCTTGTTCCACTGTTCTGTTTGTCTCTTCTTGTGCCAGTGTCCTAGTATTTTGATTACTATGACATTGTAGTGTGTGTTAGTATCCAGTAGGACAAATTCTTGTTTATTTTTCTTAGTTCACACACATTTATAATTATATCTATAATGATTTGTAACAGAGTGAAGTGAATGTAGAATGTCAGATGTTAAGAGGAAGAATGGAAAAGAGGGCTGGGACTAGGGTGATGTAGGGGATGCACTTGGCTTAGGTGCAAAATTTGGGGGATACCAAAAGAACTCAGTAATAAATCATATTTTAATGAAATATCTTGAAAAGGCAAAATTAATGCAAAGATACATGATTAACAAAACATCCAAAGAGGAGTATTTAACAAAAATGGAGAAGCAGAGAAGCAGAAGAATTAGGAGAATATGCTGTCACATGAGCCAAGGAATTAAAGAATTCAGGAAGGAGGAAGTACTGCTGTCAGATGTTCAACAGAGGTCATTTTAGAAAATTTACCTTGGTTTTTGAAATCCTTTCAAAGAGCAGTATACACAATGTGAGCAAGTATCCTTCGTTCATTGCCGTCATTGATATGGTTTGGATATTTGTCCCTTCCAATTCTCATTCCAGGGTTAAGCTTCTTCTCTGCCCTCAGTAATGTGGCCCTTCCCCTTGTCTGTATATTTTGGAGACATGAAGCATGTGGGATGGCCTCACAGTCAGCTGGGGTTTGAGGGTGAAATTCAATGACTTTCGTGAACTCCTTGGCTCCTATGTGCTCTTCACCTGGAGGGCCAGGGCATGTGCAGGGATGACCACCTTCTCCCTGGGACCTGAACAGGGCAGAGAAATGGGAAGCTCGGGTGCAAAGGGAGTGGGGAAGATGGGTCCGGGCTTACAGTACTGAACCCAGGAATGACAATAACTGTGTGTGTTGCTGCAGGTGACAAAATATCTGAACAGAAGAGGACTTAGGAGAGATCTGAACTCCAGCTGCCCTACAAACTCCATCTCAGCTTTTCTTCTCACTTCATGTGAAAACTACTCCAGTGGCTGACTGAATTGCTGACCCTTCAAGCTCTGTCCTTATCCATTACCTCAAAGCAGTCATTCCTTAGTAAAGTTTCCAACAAATAGAAATTAATGACACTTTGGTAGCACTAATATGGAGATTATCCTTTCATTGAGCCTTTTATCCTCTGTTCTCCTTTGAAGAGCCCCTCACTGTCACCTTCCCGAGAATACCCTAAGACCAATAAATACTTCAGTATTTCAGAGCGGGGAGACTCTGAGTCATTCTTACTGGAAGTCTAGGACCAGGTCACATGTGAATACTATTTCTTGAAGGTGTGGTTTCAACCTCTGTTGCCGATGTGGTTACTAAAGGTTCTGATCCCACTTGAACGGAAAGGTCTGAGGATATTGATTCAGTCCTGGGTTTTTCCCTAACTACAGGATAGGGTGGGGTAGAGAAAGGATATTTGGGGGAAATTTTACTTGGATGAAGATTTTCTTGGATGTAGTTTGAAGACTGCAGTGTTTGAAGTCTCTGAGGGAAGAGATTTGGTCTGTCTGGATCAAGATTTCAGGCAGATTAGGATTCCATTCACAGCCCCTGAGCTTCCTTCCCAAGGCTGTATTGTAATTATAGCAATATTTCATGGAGGATTTTTCTACATGATAAACTAAGAGCCAAGAAATAAATTTTTTAAAATGCCCTAATTCATTGCAATTTTTACCAGCCATAGTCACTCCATGTGGGAGAACTTAAATCATGATTACCAGAGCTTTCAAAGGTTTGAGAATAGTGATGATTATGAAGAAAAATATCTTATTTGAGCAAGGATTTTGTTTCTTTATGAGTGTTCATTAGATATTACGATGAAAAAAGCATGAAATGGTAAAAATTCAGATAAATATAAAAACATGTTCTCTAGTTTTTTTTAAGTTAAAAAAGGAATTGTTTAAAGTAAAAATTATTTGGGGGTTTATAACATACCCAGAAGTAAAATATGATGACAATGGCACAAAGAATAGAAGGGAGAAATGGAAGTATAATGTTGTAAGTTTCTTATACATGTTAAGTGGTGTGTTATTATTTGAAGGTAGAATGTATTAAGATGAATATTTTAAGCTCCTGATAACTATTGAAAAAAAAAGAGGTATAGCCAAGAGGCCAATGGAGAAGATAAAATAGAACACTAAGCATAATTAATTCAAAATAAAGAAATAAAAAAGGGAAAGTCTGGTAAGACAAAAAGAAAACAAACTGTAAGATGGTAGAGTTTAAAACAACCATACTAATAATTGAATTAAATGCACATGGCCTAAATATTCTAATGAAAAGGGAAAGATTGTCAGAATGCACAAAAAAATCTACAGGCCAACTTCATGCTCTCTACATAATGCCCTCTTTAAATATGAAGGCAAAGACAGGTAAAAAGTAAAAGAATGGGAAAATACATGTATACCGTGGAATGCTATGCAGCCATAAAAAAATGAGTTCATGTTGTTTGTGGGGACATGGATGAAGCTGGAAGCCATCATTCACAGCAAACTAACACAGGAACAGAAAACCAAACACCACACGTTCTCACTCGTAAGTGGGAGTTCAACAATTAGAACACATGGACACAGGGAGGGGAACACCTCACACCAGGGTCTGTCAGGGCATGGGGAGCAAGGGGAGGGAGAGCATTAGGACACATACCGAATGTATGCATGGCTTAAAACCTAGATGATGGGTTGATAGATGCAGCAAACCACATGGCACATGTATAACTATGTAACAAACCTGCACATTCTGCACATGTATCCCAGAACTTAAAGTAAAAAAAAAAAAAACGAAAATAATGCCAACCATGGAAGTATTGGTGGCTGTGTTAATATCAGAAATATAAGACTCAGAAATATTACCAAGGAGAAAGAAGGATAGTTCATAATGATAAAAGGATCATTTTATTATCAACATATAACAATCCTAAATGTGTTTGTTCTTAGAAAATATGTCTTAAATCACATTATACCAAAAATGATAAAAATAAATCAGAAATAGACAAATTCACAATTATATTTTAGTATTCTAGCACTCAGTAAACAATAAAATATTTAGGAAAAAACTTCATGAGGACATGATAGATTTAAATAACATTATCAATGAACCAACGTGATCTAATCAAGATTTGTAGAATATTCCACCCAATAGTGGCAGAATACACATTATTTTCAAATGCTCAAGAATATTCCACAGGACAGACTATACACTGGGTCATAAACACATATAAATAAATGTCTAAATAAATAAATGTCTCTATTGAAATCATACAGAATACATTCTCGGACCACAATAGCATTAAATTAGAAACCAATAACAGAAAAATACCTTGAAAGTCCCAAATACCTAGAAATTAAAAAGTATACTGCTAAACAGCACCTGGATTTAAAAAGAGTCAGAAGGAAAATTAGAAAATATTTTGAACTGAGTGAATATGAAAGCACACTGTATCAAAATTAGTATGATACACTAATTAGAGAATAATTTATAACTTTACATAATTGGAAAGGAGGGAAACTCTAAAATCAACCATCTATGTTCCCATCTTAAGAAGCTAGAAAAAAAAAGTCAAATGAATCCCAAGATTAATAAGATCAGAAATAAATGCAATAAAATGGACAAACAATAAAGAAAATAAACAAAGTCAATTGCTGGTTTTCAATAAGGCTCAATACATTCATGAATCTCTAGCTAGATGGATCAAGAAAAAGAGATAAGACTCAAATCCCCAATATCAGAAATGGAAGTGGGTACGTCACAACAAATCATACAGACATTAAAAGTATTATGACAGAATGCTATGAAAATGCCAATAAACAAAAATGACAATAAATTTGACAATTTACATTGTTAAATTAAATTAAATTTGGTGTAAAGCTTTCTCCATATCTTAAATTCCTACAGAGCAAACTAACCCAACTTAACATAACTGCGTTATGCAAACAAACTACAGCCTAACTTAAGAGTGTTGTAATAAATAGCTGAGTCTCAGCCAATCACAGGCTGCCAAGTGATCATATTATGTCCCCCATAAGGCAAATGCCTCATCACGCCATGCCCATATAAGGCAAACACTGAGCTGTAATAAATTGGCTGGTTTTGAGTATCACTTCCTGTTTTTATCTATAAACACTGCCTTCACATGTTGCTGGACAGAGCTTTCTGAATCTTTCTGGGTTCTGAGGGCTCCCCAATTCATGAATTGTTCTTTGCTAAATAAACTCTGTTAAATTCAACTTCTCTAAAATTTTTATTTTAACAACATGAAATAGAAACATTTCTTGAACGATTCAAATTACCAAAACTAAATCAAGAAGAAATCTCTGTCAATGGAAGAAATTAAGTTTGTAATTTTAAAAATCCTTCTCACAGAGAAGGCCAAATGGTTTCCAGGTCAGATGGCTTCATTGATTAATCCATAGTATTCTGTCATAATACTGTCATAATACTTTTAATGTCTGTATGATTAATTCTATTATACATTTAAGGAAGAAACAATACAAACTCAATACAAACTCTTTCAACAAAAGAGCAGAAGAAAACACATCCCAATAATTTACAAGTCCAATATACTAACACCAAACAATGACATTAAAAGAAAAGGAAACTAAAGACACACAAACATAGCCATGAAAATGTTTAACAAAATATTTTTTAAAATTGAATTCAATAATATATTAAAAAGGATGATATAACATGATCATAAAAGTTTATGCCAGGAATGGAAGGCATGTTTAACATGCAAAAAATCAATGTGATTCCACATCTTAACAGAATACAAAAGAAAAATTATGTAATTATGTAAATGGATGCAGAAAAAGGCATTTGCTCATTCATGATAAAAAGTCCTAGAAAACTAGGAATAAAAAGGAATTACCTGATAAGGTGTGTCCATGAAAACCAACAACTGAAATTTTCAATTTTGGGTGGGGGAGGGGGGCGGGCATTTTACTTTCTCCATAAAACTATTAAATTATCTAATGTGAAAGTGGAATTCAGTGAAGAAATGTTCCCTACTGCAAAAATACAAAATGCTGGACATTCTGTGAACAGTTTCTATGCATTCTATATAAATGAAACTATTAACTATATAATACATTTATTGAAAAAAGAAGATGGCCTTCTTTTTTTTTCCTAATGGCTGTTGAATTTATTTGCTTGATCAATAATGGTCCTGGCAAAAATTGACCAATGCTGAGACATTTGTAATGAAATACTAATTTTAAAAGTCCATGACACCTTGATAGAAATTAGAGTTTACACAAACAAAAAAGGAACCTTCGATATTTCCAGCAGCTATAAGGTGAATGTACTGAGACCGACAGGACAGCAAGAAGGCATTTGCACATTTATATCTGACACCAGACCACACTTTCAGTCACCAGAATATCTTCTCTCCATATTTTAAAAAATAGTGTCTCTCCCTCTCCCTCTCCCCACGGTCTCCCTCTCCCTCTCCCCCTGGTCTCCCTCTCCCTCTCTTTCCACAGTCTCCCTCTGATGCCGAGCCGAAGCTGGACGGTACTGCTGCCATCAGGGCTCACTGCAACCTCCCTGCCTGATTCTCCTGCCTCAGCTTGCCGAGTGCCTGCGATTGCAGGCGCGCGCCGCCACACCTGACTGGTTTTCGTATTTTTTTGGTGGAGATGGGGATTCGCTGTGTTGGCTGGGCTGGTCTCCAGCTCCCAACCGAGAGTGGTCCGCCAGCCTCCGCCTCCCGAGGTGCCGGGATTGCAGACAGAGTCTCCTTCACTCAGTGCTCAATGGTGCCCAGGCTGGAGTGCAGTGGCGTGATCTCGGCTCGCTACAACCTCCACCTCCCAGCAGCCTGCCTTGGCCTCCCAAAGTGCCGAGACTGCAGCCTCTGCCCGGCCGCCACCCCGTCTGGGATGTGAGGAGCCCCTCTGCCTGGCTGCCCAGTCTGGAAAGTGAGGAGCGTCTCTGCCCTGCCGCCATCCCATCTAGGAAGTGAGGAGCGCCTCTTCCCGGCCGCCATCACATCTGGGAAGTGAGGAGCGTCTCTGCCTGGCCGCCCATCGTCTGAGATGTGGGGAGCACCTCTGCCCTGCCGCCCCGTCCGGGATGTGAGGAGCGTCTCTGCCCGGCCGCCCCGTCTGAGAAGTGAGGAGACCCTCTGCCTGGCAACCGCCCCGTCTGAGAAGTGAGGAACCCCTCCGCCCAGCAGCCGCCCTGTCTGGGAAGTGAGGAGCGTCTCCGCCCGGCAGCCACCTCGTCCGGGAGGGAGGTGGGGGGGGGTCAGCCCCCCGCCCGGCCAGCCGCCCCGTCCGGCAGGTGAGGGGCGCCTCTGTCCGGCCGCCCCTACTGGGAAGTGAGGAGCCCCTCTGCCCGGCCAGCCACTCCGTCCGGGAGGGAGGTGGGGGGGTCAGCCCCCCGCCCGGCCAGCCGCCCCGTCCGGGAGGGAGGTGGGGGGGTCAGCCCCCCGCCCGGCCAGCCGCCCCGTCCGGAAGGGAGGTGGGGGGGTCAGCCCCCCGCCCGGCCAGCCGCCCCGTCCGGGAGGGAGGTGGGGGGGTCAGCCCCCCGCCCGGCCAGCCGCCCCGTCCGGGAGGGAGGTGGGGGGGTCAGCCCCCCGCCTGGCCAGCCGCCCTGTCCGGGAGGTGAGGGGCGCCTCTGCCCGGCCGCCCCTACTGGGAAGTGAGGAGCCCCTCTGCCCAGCCAGCCGCCCCGTCCGGGAGGGAGGTGGGGGGGTCAGGCCCCCACCCGGCCAGCCGCCCCATCCGGGAAGTGAGGGGCGCCTCTGCCCGGCCGCCCCTACTGGGAAGTGAGGAGCCCCTCTGCCCAGCCAGCCGCCCCGTCCAGGAGGGAGGTGGAGGGGTCAGCCCCCTACCCGGCCAGCCGCCCCGTCCGGGAGGGAGGTGGGAGGGTCAGCCCCCCGCCCGGCCAGCCGCCCCGTCCGGGAGGTGAGGGGCGCCTCTGCCCGGCCGCCCCTACTGGGAAGTGAGGAGCCCCTCTGCCCAGCCAGCCGCCCCGTCCAGGAGGGAGGTGGGGGGGGTCAGCCCCCCGTCCGGCCAGCCGCCCCGTCCGGGAGGTGAGGGGCGCCTCTGCCCGGCCGCGCCTACTGGGAAGTGAGGAGCCCCTCTGCCCGGCCACCACCCCGTCTGGGGGGTGTACCCAACAGCTCATTGAGAACGGGCCATGATGACAATGGCGGTTTTGTAGAATAGAAACGGGGGAAAGGTGGGGAAAAGATTGAGAAATCGGATGGTTGCCGTGTCTGTGTAGAAAGAGGTAGACATGGGAGACTTCATTTTGTTCTGTACTAAGAAAAATTCTTCTGCCTTGGGATCCTGTTGATCGGTGACCTTACCCCCAACCCTGTGCTCTCTGAAACATGTGCTGTATCCACTCAGGGTTGAATGGATTAAGGGTGGTGCAAGATGTGCTTTGTTAAACAGATGCTTGAAGGCAGCATGCTCCTTAAGAGTCATCACCACTCCCTAATCTCAAGTACCCAGGGACACAAACACTGCGGAAGGCCGCAGGGTCCTCTGCCTAGGAAAACCAGAAACCTTTGTTCACTTGTTTATCTGCTGACCTTCCCTCCCCTATTGTCCTGTGACCCTGCCAAATCCCCCTCTGCGAGAAACACCCAAGAATGATCAATAAAAAAATAATAATAAAAAAATAGTATGCTGATTTCTACAACAAAGATTTTTTTCATACAAAAATCAAATCATGGCCAGAAGATATCCTTCTTAAACTGGATGCCAGATGAGCATGCTGAACACAAAGCATGGTTTGTAGAGAAGAGATGTTTCTAACAAAAAAATTAAGGACAGAGTTTGAGGTAATGACGGAACATCCAGACGGATGTGCCCAGTACATATACTGAGATGAAGCCAGAGACTATACACTAATGGGTTTTTCTGTGGCATCATGATTGATGCCATGAGGGTGACTGAGATCTGCAGGAGAATGAGTGTAGAGAGATGAGCAAAGGGCTGAAGATTATGCCTTAAGTATGTCTCCATTTAAAAATGGGAAATGGAGGAGCAGTGCACAAAGGAGTATGCATTATTTCCTGCCTCAGCGTTTTGGGGTAAATAGGGTAAGGAAGAGAGGGCTATGGGAAGAGAATGACCTGTCTCTCCATCTCACTTATAACTATCTGGTTGACCACCAACTGGATAAGACCAAATAGTTTGATATACCTGTCAAGGGACTTAATATAACATTAGCCTGCATTAATATCAGCAATATTTCTGTAATAAGGAAGGTGATAGATCTCCTATTCCCTGCTTGAACTTTACTTGAAGCTCTGTACACTCAGACATAGATTTTTAAGAAAAATCTGTACCACCTGGACAGAGGTATAAAGGAAAATGGAAAACAGGAGTAAAATAGTTCAAAGGGTTGTGATTTTGGAGCCATTAAAGAATCTGGTCAAGTTTGGTCTGGTGAAGTGAAAAAAGCAGAACCAGGATTGGTTTAAGAATCTCTGACTCCAAATAACTATACCTCAACTATGGAGGTCCTAGGAGGTCAGGCAGGGGTGTGTTGCTTTATTTATGAGAAAAGTGTACTCACGTATCTCTAAATATGTAAGGTACATGATGATTCCTTTTTTATTGTCTTGAGTAGGATGATCTGCTCCTAGCAGCGTGCAGATGGGGCTTATGTAAGCCCTAAGCACTCGTGTATGACAGAGGAAGAAAAGGTTCTTCCTTAGGATGAGAGAACTTCAAACAAGATTACTCCAGCCCATCCTCCCATTTGCTCTCTCTTTCTGTTTTCAGCTCACATAGAAAAGCCCTTTTTGGTATTTAAGCTCAATTGCTCTTATTGTGGGACAGTGGAGGCTGTGTATTACACCCATAAAAACTATTTGTCTCTATTTCCTCTCTGAAAAGGTAGCATTGCAACACTTCCCTCTCTGCTTTCCCTTCTCTCTCTTAGCCAGGGGCCCCATTGCTCAGGGTTAGAATACACAGTCAACTAAAAAAATCTGTCCCATAAAGGGACTGTTGAACACTCAACTGTCTGTTTGATGGTTGAAGCTAAGCTCTAAGAGTGAGAGTAAAATGCCGATGGAGAAGGTTTGGAGAAAGCTGTGATGACAAGAATTATCACTTCTTAATGACTTTCCCTCCAGCCAATGAGATTTGAGTGTGAAGCATCCTCACTTGTGACCAGGTAATAAAGGTACTGAGATTGTCCTGAGTGAGTTGCAGAGAAGGGAGAGGTATGGCATGCTATCAAGAGAACAGTTCTGTTTCATAGTGGGAAAATGTATCAGAGTGTCACGTGGACATAGAAGTGAGAGAACTGAGGGTTGAAGTGGGTTCTTGGGAAGGTTACATCTTCTGCTGTTGAGAAAATCTGAAGTGTATGCCAACTAGGGTTAGAATTGCTGCCTCACAGGAAGTAGCACTCTGTGCAGCCACCAATTAAAGCTGCCCTGCCTGGATCCTTTTAGTATTTTGGGATTGATAAATAGATATGAATAACAAATGGGCAAACCCAGGCAAGGTAAAACTAAGGAGAAAACATAGAAATAGTGCACAGAAACGAGTTAGAGAAGAATAAAACAGAATATAAGTACAAGTCTCCTTACCTGTTGGCACATGGGAATAGTTTTGGTGTATGCTAAAATAGTTTTTCCTTGGAGCTTCAGGTTGTAAATTGCTAAGGAAAACCTGCTTGGTGCTGGAGTCCGGAGTCTTTACTTTTCTTCTAGTTACAGCTCTCAGAGGCCTGTTCAGGTTCTCAGAAGCATAGTACCCATTAGCTACTTTGTTACATCCACTGTGAAATTTGGCTTCCATATCCGGTTTTACAATTCAATGTTGGATCAAAAAGACTGGTTGGCCTCCTAGAAGCCTTTCTAAATTCTACTGAGCTGGAAACGGTTAGAGAAAGAGCTGTCTACTCTCTGAGGAGCACTTCTGAGTTACTTCTACTTCACAGGTTCTAACACAAAAGGTGTTAACCCTAGAGGATTAGAACCTAATCAGTTATGGCAAACAGAAGTTACATCCCTGAATTTGGAAAACTAAGATATGTACATGTATCCATTGATACCAACACTCATCTAATAAGTGCACACGCTCTTCTGTTGACTGAAGTGTACAGATGTGTGCAGCAACACGTCTGTCAGGCAAGGCAGTCATCGCTTTCATTCCGGCTTTGCATCCTAGAATTAGCAAATAACATAAGACAATCATGAGAATAATTAGCAATATTCTTTTCCAGTCAAAGAGTGAACCCCAGGAGTGGGGGTCTAACCAGGAGTGATGATCTTGCACACCCTTCCATATGGCTGTTTGTTGGGTGTGTAGATCTATAGTGGGAAGGGATTCTAAAATTTTAGTTTGAAGTTGCTTTACATCTGCTATTAAATTGTCATGAAATGTTCCCCAGAGGTGTTGTTTCACTTCATCCCAACTATGTATTGATTGATTCTATGATAGAGAAGTGACGCAGATATGTTTATGCGCCCAGTCGCAGTTTAGTTGCTGTTAGAATACCAGTGCATCTTGTTACTCCCCCATATATTCCAGGGCAGCCTCAAGGGCCTCAAGGGCTTGCAGACGTGCAAGAATCTTTTGCTCTATACCCTGCTGTAAGAGAAGTTCATTAGACACATTTCTGGCC